>NC_000002.12:25691573-25843088 GCF_000001405.40 Homo sapiens
GCCCAAAGTAGAGGGAGGACCAGCTCTAAAATAATCGTGGCTATGGCTTTTGTCTAATTGAGTGGACTATTTTCTTTCTTTTCTATTTTATTTATTCATTCGTTTATTTATTTATTTATTTATTTGTTTATTTACTGAGACAGAGTCTCACTCCATCGCCCAGGCTGGAGTGCGGTAGCGCTATCTCAGCTCACTGCAACTTCTGCCTCCCAGGTTCAAACAATTCTCCTGCCTCGCCTCCCGAGCAGCTGTGATTACAGGCACCCACCACCACACCCAGCTACTTTTGTATTTTTTTTTAGTAGAGATGGGGTTTCACCATGTTGGCCAGGCTGATCTTGAACTCCTGACCTCAAGTGATCCGGTCACCGCGGTCTCCCAAAGTGTTGGGATTACAGGCGTGAGCCACCATGCCTGGCCGAGTGGACTATTTTCTGATACATAAAAAGCTGACAAAGTGTTAAGGGAGTTGTGGGACAGAGACAGTTCAAAATGAAAAAGACATCTGGGTCCCAAATTTTCTAAGGGCAAAAGAAAACAGGTTGAGAAAGCTGCTACTGACACAAGCCAATTCTTATAGAAAAGGAAGTACATCTCAGAAGATGGAGCCAAAAGCCCAGAGGGCAAAGCTAAGGGCCAAAGACAACAATGGACTAAGAAATCATTTCCCAGGAGCT
Organism: Homo sapiens; assembly: GCF_000001405.40. NCBI lineage: Eukaryota > Metazoa > Chordata > Mammalia > Primates > Hominidae > Homo > Homo sapiens. The sequence goes on from NC_000002.12 coordinate 25,692,251, forward strand.
AACAGGGCGGTCACTCAAAAGCAGTCCTCAGCTCCAAGGCGGAAGGCCTTGACAATGAGTCCTGTTCATTTCAGATTTGCAGAATTCCTATGCACCCCCATTCCTCCCCGTTGTGAATGTTGAGTATTTACTGAGGTTTTCCCATGCCTGTCTCACCATTGTGTGCTGAGTGCATGAGGGAGGGGATACTTTCACTCTTTTTTTTTTTTTTTTTTTTGAGATGCACTCTCTCCCTGTCACCAGGCTGGAGTGCAGTGGCGCCATCTCAACTCACTGCAATGTCAGATCCCCCAGGTTCAAGCGATTCTCCTGCCTCAGCCTTGCAAGTAGCTGGGATTACAGGCACGCACCACCACACCCAGCTAATTTTTGTATTTTTAGTAGAGATGGAGTTTTACCATGTTGGCCAGGATGGTCTCGATCTCCTGACTTTGTGATCTGCCCACGTTGGCCTCCTGAAGCCCTGGGATTACATGCGCGAACCACCGCGTCCGGCTGGTAGTCTTTTTTTCTGAGACAGGCTTTCACTCTATCACCCAGGCTTTGTCTTTTAGATCAAGAGGAGCCATCTAAGGAACTGCACCTGAGCACCAGGGCCACATCTGAGCCTGGTACAGATCATGAGACCCTACACTTTGAACCTGGGGCCATGATTGGATGAGATCACAAGCGATCTGTAAACAGTGAGTGTGTTTAGCATGTGGGAGGGATGTGAGCCATTTGTGACCCAGGGAGAACTGTAGTTGATTGTTCGAGTAATGGTCCAATGAATCATGGATAAGCCTCTCCCATGGATCTGACCTTGGCCTTGTGATTTGCTTTGGCTGAGGGAGAATGGCACACATCACACAACCAGACACTTGCAAGCACTTGCACAGTGGGTCTTGTCCTCTTGGAACATTGTCCTGAGACTGCCATGAAGGTAAGCCAGTCTGGTCCACTGGAGGAGGAGATGCCACATTTAGGAAAACCGAGGTACCCCTGGTGGCAGCCAGCAACAACTGCTAGATAGATATCTTGGACCATTAGATGGGGTTACCCTATGGTGAATGACTGTTTTCAGGCACATTCAGCCAATCCACAGAATCATATCAAATTATAAATCATTATAGATCCTTGTTAGTGAGGTAAAAAGTTTCAGGATGGTTTTGTTAGACAGCAATAGATAACCAATACACAGGAAGACTGAAAAAGCCTTCTTGTCTGGGCGCGGTGGCTCACACCTGTAATCCCAGCACTTTGGGAGGCCGAGGTAGGTGGATTGCTTGAGCCCAGGAGTTTGAGACCAGCCTGGACAATATGGCAAATTCTATAAAGAATACAAAAATTAGCCAAGCATGGTGGCACATTCCTGTAGTCTCAGCTACTAGGGAGGCTGAGGTGGGAGGATCACCTGAGCTTGGGAAGCTGAGGCTGCAGTGAGCCATGATTGTATGCTGCTCTCCAACCTGGGCAACAGAGTGAGACCCCGTTTAAAAAAAATAAAGAAAAGACAAAAAAAGCCTTCTTGGTGGAGCTAGTGCTTAAGGATCAGAGAGGGTTAGCACACGGGGAGGTAGAGAAAGGGCATTCCTGGCATCGCAAGAGAAGGTAGAGACATAAGAAAAGGCAAGGGGGGGCCGGGCGTGGTGGCTCACACCTGTAATCCCAGCACTTTGGGAGGCCGAGGCAGGCGGATCACGAGGTCAGGAGATCGAGACCATCCTGGCTAACACGGTGAAACCCCGTCTCTACTAAAAATACAAAAAATTAGCCGGGCGTGGTGGCGGGCGCCTGTAGTCCCAGCTACTGGGAAGGCTGAGACAGGAGAATGGTGTGAACCCGGGAGGCGGAGCTTGCAGTGAGCTGAGATCGCGCCACTGCACTCCAGCCTGGGCGACAGAGCGAGACTCCATCTCAAAAAAAAAAAAAAAAGAAAAGAAAAGGCATGGGGGACAGACGGCATTGAGGCCACTTGACACTTATGACAGTCTGCAGGGACTATGTCAAGGAGGAACAGCGATGGCCCCTTTTAGAAGGCAGTACCATTAAGTCTTCCTTTTTTTTTTTTTTGAGACATAGTCTCGCTCTTGTCACCCAGGCTTAAGTGCAATGGCGCGATCTTGGCTCACTGCAACCTCCACCTCCTGGGTTCAAGCGATTCTTCTGCTCCAGCCTCCTGAGTAGCTGGGATTACAAGAACCCACCAGCATGCCAAGCTAATTTGTGTATTTTTAGTAGAGACGTGGTTTTGCCATGTTGGTCAGGCTGGTCTCGAACTCCTGACCTCAGGTGAGCCACCCGCCTCAGCCCCCCAAAGTGCTGGGATTATAGGTGTGAGCCACAGCGCCTGGCCAAGTCTTTCATTATTTAATAGAGGTCTTAACTTAACCGTGGGGTCTTAAAGATCCAGAGCAGGCCGGGCACAGTGGCTCATACCTGGAATCCCAGCACTTTGGGAGGCCGAGACAGGCAGATCACCTGAGGCCAGAAGTTCAGGACCAGCCTGGCCAACATGGTGAAACCCCGCCTCTACTAAAAATACAAAAATTATCCAGGCGTGGTGGCACACACCTGTAATCCCAGCTACTTGGGAGGCTGAGTCAGGAGAATCACTTGAACCTGGGAGGTGGAGGCTGCAGTGAGCTGAGATCGCGCCACTGCACTCCAGCCTGGGTGACAGAGCGAGACTCCGTCTCAAAAAAAAAGATCCAGAGCAATTCCACCTCTACTGCCCAAACATATGCCATGGAGGAGACTCTCAGAGGGGTGCTGGCCAGAGGACAAACACGTGCTGTCATTCTCGCTGCACATATTACAGAATATAAAGAAACACCAAAACTGTAACAGCTGAGTGTGGTAGCAAGTGCGAGGCTCAAGGTCCAGAAATTTACATTTACTATATATGTGCTATTGTTTTCAAACAATGAATAAAGTACATAATTTATCTGGGTCTCACCTTATTTGTAAAATGAGCAGATGTCCTTCAATTCTGACAGTCTAAGATTCTATTTTTTTTTTTTTTTTTTTTTGAGGCAGAGTCTCACTCTTGTTACCCAGGCTGGAGTGCAATGGTGTGATCTCAGCTCACTGCAACCTCTGCCTCTCAGGTTCAAGCAATTCTCCTGCCTCAGCCTCCCGACTAGCTGGAATTAAGGTGCCTGCCACCATGCCTGGATAATTTTTGTATTTTTAGTAGAGGTGGGATTTCACCATGTTGGCCGGGCTGGTCTCGAACTCCTGACCTCAAGTGATCCACCAGCCTCGGCCTTCCAAAGTGCTGGGACTGCAGGCATGAGACATTGTGCCCGGCCTAAGATTCTATTTTTGTTTGGTTGTTTGAGACAGAGTCTCATGCTGTCACCCAGCCTGGAGTGCAGTGGCGCAATCATGGCTCACTGCAGCCTCAGCCTCCTGGGCTCAAGCAATCCTCCCATCTCAGCCTCCTGAGTAGCTGGGACTACAGGAGAGCACCACCATGCCCAATTTTTAAACATTTTTTGTAGAGACAGGATCTCACCATGTTGCCTAGGCTGGTCTGGAATTCCTAGGCTCTAGCGATCCTTCCGCCTTAACCTCCCAAAGTGCTGGGAGTACAGGTGTAAGCCACCACACCCAGCTAGGTTCTAGAAAAAGATTTTAATGCACAATTAAATATGAAAGTGACTTCCACATAATAAGAAATCAAATATTTGTTGAATCTGAATAGGCATTAGCAATACAATGGATAATGGGAGCACTGAAATACTATTATCTATAAATCAGTACAACCCTATAAAAAGCAGGTAGGGATAAGAATCAAGAGTCATAAAAACATTCATCTGGTGACTTTGTAATCCCAGAGAAGTAATAAAACATAAGATAAAAGTTACCTGCATCACCTCTAAGGTAAAAAATTAGAAACAATCTAAATGTCTAATAAAAAGAATAAATTATCCCCTGTGCAATATTATACAGCCATTAAGGATTATTATGAAAGCTGTAAAATCATGGGTGAGTGTTTGTGATTTCATAATAAATGAAGAAAGCAAAATATTATCCTATACTATTTCTAGGCCTATCTGAAAATAGAAAATGCATAGGGGCAAAGGTTAGAAGGGAACATGCAAATATGAAAATAGCTGAATAAAAGAGCTGAGGCCAGGCACGGTGGCTCACACCTGTAATCCCAGCACTTCGGAAGGCCAGGGCAGGCGGATCACCTGAGGTCAGGAGTTTGAGACCAGCCTGACCAACATGGTGAAATCCTTTCTCTACTAAAATACAAAAAAAATTAGCTGGACGTGGTGGTGCACACCTGCAGTCCCAGCTACTCAGGAGGCTGAGGCAGGAGAACTGCTTGAAAACCTGGGAGGTGGAGGTTGCAGTGAGCTGATATTGTGCCACTGCACTCCAGCCTGGGTGACAGAGTAAGACTCTGTCTAAAAAAAAAAAGAAAAAAGAGATGAGATTATATTGAAGGGTTTTTAAAAACACATTATTTTCCTTAAGGCTCTTATTAGGTTATCCTTATAATAAGGCTTTTTAAAATTTATTGTTTTAAGAGACAGGGTCTCTGTCATTGAGACTGGAGTGCAGTGAAGCGATCATAGCTCAGTACAGCCTAAAACTCGTAGGCTCAAGAGATCCCCCCACCTCAGCCTCCCAAGTAGCTGGGACTATAGGTGCATGCCACCACACCTGGCTAGTGTTTTTTTTTTTTTTTTTTTTTTTAAAGAGATAGGGTCTTGCCATGTTGCTGAGGCTGGTATCCAACTCCTGACTTCAAGCGACCCTCCCACTTCAGCTTCCAAAGTCCTGGGATTACAGGGATGAGCCACCACAGCCAACCAGGCTTTTTATTATTTTTAGACTGGTCAAGTACAGTAATGAGAAGGAGGGAAAGAGTTCAACAAAGACTTCGATCCGTGACTGACTGTGAACAATCAGCTGAGATAACTAGCTGCCTTTGGACCAGCCTATAATAAGTCTTTCAAAAGACCCTCTAACGTCTCTGTGTCTTCCGCTGTAGTGACTGACCAGGTGTTCCTGTGGGAGAATAAGAAAGCCCTTGCCCATAGCCCCAGCACCACTGCACAGCAGGTCTGGGCTTGGCCTGGAGCCCAAGCTGGCAGGATCCCCAACACAGACATGAGCCTCTCCGGTAGCATCCAAGAGCCCCACTGGGGACCAAGAGGGGCTGACCAGGAGTCCCTGCCCAGTCAGGGTCATTAATGCCACCCAGAGCCACATCACAGAGGGGAGCCAGGGAGACAGTAACGAGGCAATTCAGAGGCCCTCAGGCACCCACCTTTTACTCACAATAGTTCTGGCAGGAGATCTGACAAAATGGAACCTGCGCTGACCAGAGAACACCTGACCAAAGTGTTTTTGTTGCTGGAAACCAGAGAGAGGCACCAAGAAAAGAGATATCACCTCATCCTCCCATCAACAGTGAAGATCATTTCCATTCAAACCGGTTGACATTAATGAGCAACCACTTTGTATAAGACCCTGAAGAGGATAACAAAAATGAGTAAGATGCGGTTGTTGCGGCAGGGAGCTTGCAACTCGGTGGGAGGGGAGGGGCAGAGAGGCTATGCTACAAGTCAGGACATTTAAGGTGGGAAACCAGTGCTACCAAAGGCAGGAAGAGATCATGTCCAGCTGGAAGGGTCACTTGCAATGGGTCTTGAAGGGTTTTGTCAGACAGAGATGCTGCCTGCGGAAGGCAGTTCAAGCTGAGTAGCCAGTGTAAGCCAAAAAGCAAAGGTGGGAGAGCCACGGTGCACTTAGGCAGTGGTGAGCGGTTCAGCTGAGCCGAGCCAGAGAGCACAGTAAGAGACGCAGGAGGAGAGGGAGGCTGGGGCCGGGAGGGCCCACACTGTGAATGGTCTGCCTGGCTGTGCTTTAGAATAATGCACAGTACCAGGAGCAGGAAGAAGAACCAGAGCAGGGAAGACATGAGGCCAGGAAGCAAGGCACAGAAGTGATGAGAGTTTGATTGGGCTCGGATTTCAGCAGCTGAACGGAAAGGAAAAGACAGGCGTGAGCAGCACCGCAGGGGCAGGATCGGTAGGATTCACTAACTCACTTTTCCCGGGCTTAAAGCCTGGGAGACAGAGCACTAGTGATGCTGACGATGGGAACAGAAAATCCAGAAGGAAGGGGCTTGGAATGCAGTGAGTTAAATGCAAGCGACCATGTCCTACAAGCAGCTGAAGTTTAGACGTGAGCTTGGGGGAGCAGTCAGGGTTAGATTTGGGAGCTATTCACTGAACAGGCTGCAGCTGAAAAGGTAGAAGTGTCTAAGAATACTGAAGGCAGAAACTTCAAGAAGGATGTTCAGGTGTTAGAAGGAGAACAAATGTTGGCAAAACCGGTGATGGTGACAGGGGTCAGAGGAGACCAGCGCCCTAAAGCCTGGGACAAAGAGAATGTCGGCTGTGGGGGGTGCAGGGAGTGCAGCTGGGTAGGGCAGCTGGGGTGGGGACGGGTCCTCAGAAGAAAGGTTTGGGGTGGGGCAGAAGCCAGGGCATAAGGAGTTGAGAGCACAGCCACAAAGTGGGGACAGTTTTTCATTAAGTTTGATGATAGGGAGAGGAGAGCTGGGATGGCAAGCTAAATGCCTTAGCAAGATCAAGGGAAGTGTTTTTTAGGGTGTGTGCCTCTGAGTATGTTTGCAGGTAAGAGGTTGGTGGATAAAGATTATGTCAGCATCACATAATCAGTGTTTGCAGGAAAGGGGACTGGGGCATTGGTGAGTCAGCTTCCTCAGGAGACACACACTTGAGGCTCCAAGGCAATACCATGAAAAAAATGTTTTTAAGCAACAGAAACTTTCAGACAAACTGTATTCAGAATCCCAATATATAACATCACTGATGCTGAGTGGAAATAGGGAATGGAGGGGGTTGTAGAAGGCTGTTGTTGCCCTGGGGCATCAGCTCAAAGAAAAACAAAAAGGGTGGATGGAGACAAGATGGATAAGAACATGATGAGGTAAGAGAAATAGGAAAGGAGATATTTTGCTGTGGGCATGATGGGGATATTGAAAAGTGAAAGCTTAAAGCAGAAAACTTTGGAAGAGTCACAGTGAAAAATGAGCTACTGATTCCACCTGAGCTGGGAAAAATAGGCTCGCCAAGCAACAGAGAGGTCCCTGCTGGGCGCCATAGCACTGAGGCCACAGCAGAGCCAGCTGGCACGTTGCTTCTCCCCATCAATGCTGGCGGTGTCAGGCTGAGGCAGCATACGATGGTGATTATCCAGGCTGGAGACCCACACGGTGACGGTAATGGAAGGTTGGGACATGAGGGCTCTTAGGAGTTTTCAAGGACATGCTGGAGACAGCTAGCCTTTTCTGAGGTCTCCTGCTTGCCAAGCCAGACAGCAGGGCTGTCCCTATGCCCGGGAGTGGGCTTCTTGGGCGGGTATCAGTGAGCAGACAGCTGTTTTAAAAGACAAGACGTTAACAACCCGGAGCTGAGATTTTCAGCGATAAATATGCTTTAATTTTTAAAAATTGTGGTAAAATAGGCCGGGCGCGGTGGCTTACGCCTGTAATCCTAGCACTTTGGGAGGCCGAGGTGGGCGGATCACGAGGTCAGGAGATCGAGACCATCCTGGCTAACACGGTGAAACCCCGTCTCTAGTAAAAATACAAAAAATTAGCCAGGCGTGGTGGCGGGCGCCTGTAGTCCCAGCTACTCGGGAAGCTGAGGCAGGAGAATGGTGTGAATCCGGGAGGTGGAGCTTGCAGTGAGCCGAGATCATGCCACCGCACTCCAGCCTGGGTGACAGAGCGAGACTCCATCTCAAAAAAAAAAAATTGTGGTAAAATATATATACATAAAATTTATCATTGTAACCATTTTTATGTGTGCAGTTCAGTGGCATGAATTAGATTCATATTGCTGTGCAGCCATCACCACCATCCATCCCCAGAACTTTTCCATCATCCGCAGATGAAATGTTGTATCCCTTGAATAATAACCGCCCATTTCTTTGCCTCCCATGCCCTTTCAGACTCCAGGAACCTGGGACTCCTCTGCTCACTGGCGCATTAGCTTTAAACTACCCAGAAAAAGAAAAAGGCAGAAACACCGCACCTTTGCCTTCTAGTGGTGAAACAGGCTCACTGCGGGTACATACAATAAATTACAAGTTCATATTTTATTGGTTTATGAATCAGGGGTCAGGGCTAATTTACAAATAAGTATCTGAGTCACCAGCAATATATCACTGTAACTAGAGCTTATTAAATACCATATAGCAGAACGAAAAGAAGGCATCATTAAATGGCTGGTATTCATTTGCTTTGCCTGACGGTAACACTAACTGTATATTTAGCCTAGTGTTCATCTGTTTGTAAATGTTGAAGGGTGGATGACTGAAGACAGCAAGAGACCGCTGGGTAGTGTGGCCTGAATGTCTTCAGCCCAGAGATATCCTAATACCCTGGGCAGGAACACAAACAAGAGCACCAGGAAGCTGAGGCACGAGTTTGAGACCATCCTGGGCAACATAGTGAGACTCTGCCTAAAAAAAAAAAAAATTTTTTTTTTTTGAGACAGAATCTTGCTCTGTCACCCAGGCTGGAATGCAGTGGCACAATCTTGGCTCACTGCAACCTCTGTCTCCCAGGTTCAAGAGATCCTCCTGCCTCAGCCTCCTGAGAAGCTGGGACTATAGGCATGCACCAGCACACCCAGCTAATTTCTGTATGTTCAGTAGAGATGGCGTTTCACTATGTTGGCCAGGCTGGTGTTGAAGTCCTGACCTCAGGTGATCCACCCACCTCTCTGCCTCCCAAAGTGCTGGGATTATAGGCATGAGCCACCACACCCAGCCAAAAAAATTTTTTTTTAATTAGCTGGTTTGGGGGTTTGTCTGTAGTCTTAGCTACTCAGGAGGCTGGGGGCAAGGATTGCTTGAGTCCTGGAGTTTGAGACTTCGGTGAGCTATAGTTGCACCACTGCACTCCAGCCTGGGTGACAGAGTGAGACCCTGATTCTTTAAAAAAAAAAAAAAAAAAAGCACAGGGTGGGCACGGTAGCTGACACCTGTAATCCCAAGACTTTGGGAGGCTGAGGCAGGCAGGTCGCTTGATTCCAGGAGTTTGAGACCAGCCTGGGCAACATGGTGAAACGCCATCACCAAACAAAAAAAGCAACTCGCTGGACGTGGTGGCCAGCACCTGTAGTCCCAGCTAGTCGGGAGGCTGAAGTGGGAGGATCACTTGAGCCAGGAGGCAGAGGCTGTAGTGAGCCGAGATCCTGCCACTGCACTTCAGTCTGCGCAACAGAGTGAGACTCTGTCTCAAAAAAAAAAAAAAAAAAAAGCACAGATCTGGAAAGGTGTAATTTTGGAGGTGATCCATGAAGGCCCCAATGCTGTTCCTTAGAAAGGCTGACAAAACAGGAGCTGGAAGTAGACCCAGCAGCTGCCAAACAGGGCCCTCGCTATAGCTCCAGGCCTGGCTGTTTTGGGTTCTCACTGGAGAGCAGCTCTCTCAGAGGCAGAGTGGGCCCAGCTGAGAGGAATTGGCATGCAGAGGTAAGACAAGCACGGGGGCAGCATGGAGGAGGCAGCGCGAGTGCATCCAGCAGGGGCGAGAAGGTCCTCTACAGGACTCAGGGTGTGTGGGGTGGGGGTGGGAAGAGGGGCTTAGAAGATAGAAGAGGAGGCAGATGGGTGACTGTCACCTGGTGGGCTCCCCAGTGGCCCGGCAGAATAATGACGGCTTCTGTGGCAAGGCTGTGTCCCACATTCGAGCAGATGGTATCATGGAGGTCTCTGAGCCGGCAGTTGGGCCCAGCTGGGATTTGGGAGGGCAGAGGGAGTTAAGCAGATCCCCATTTCTTGGGAACTAGGCAGAGTCCACTGGTAGAAACCCAGCTGTAACCTCAGGAGCCGCTTCCAGCCTGAAAATTGTCTTGTTACAAGTCCCTGAGCTAGGTCCCAAGGCAGCGTCTCACACCTGCTTGATCATTGTATCAGGAAAATTGGTGTATTTGTCCTGGCTCCATCCCAGACCTACCCATCCAAGGGCCAGGACTGAGAATCTATACTTTCAGTGCCCCTCCCCAAGGAAGCTCCTACCACATGGAGTTTGAGAATCACAGACTGAAGGCTCACGAACTCCCCCGTGATCAGCAGTAGGGGGATGCCAGGGGCACGTGGCTGCAGCTATGACATAAAGAACTGGGGGAGCAGGAGGTCATCACATGACCCAGGTCAGTCCCCAGCACAGTCCACTCCCCAGTCCCCTCTCAGAAACGCCTGCCACAGCCATGCTCTTCCTGGGTCCCAGTAGAAGTTTCATCATTTGGCGACCAGTGGGCTCTGGCTCTTGTACCCTGGGAGGGCACCATTTGATTCATCCAATACTACAGATGACACAAGCCTCAACATTTTTTTCTTTCCTTGAGTTTTTTTTTTTTTCTTGAGGATGAAGCGTGAGTTGATGTACATAGAACCAGGGTAGGTCTCTGATAAGGCAGGTGAGTGGCTTGTGTGGAGCATCATACTCCAGCCCTCACCTGGCAGTGGGCACCAGCAGCCTGCACTGTGGCACCCTGACCACCCCCCTTTGGAGCACTGTGTTCATTGGCACCCTCTCTACCCTAATGATTTTGCCAGCAAAAACTTAACATGCAACAAGGAAATGGTATGACATCTGTTATACATGCTGACTCAATGAACGAGGCAGTCATTTCTTTAAATGAAGAAATCTTTAAATTTCTTATACAGATTATATAGAAACTTAGGGAAATATTTATAATATTAAATATATATTTTCAACTATATCAGCATGCAGGAAAGGAGTGTAAAAATATATATTTTTCAAGAATAGAAAATATCTACAAATATGACAAAGCAATATGCCAAAAAATAATGTTTGTGAGAATTATGTCAAGTAATCTTTGTTCCTTAAAAACTTTTAGGCTGGTCGTGATGGCTCATGCCTGTAATCCCAGCACTTTGGGAGGCTGAGGCGGGTGGATCACTTGAGGTCAGGAGTTCAAGACCAGCCTGGCCAACATGGTGAAACCTTGTCTCTACTAAAAATACAAAAATTAGCTGGGCATGGTGGCAAGCACCTGTAGTCCAAGCTACTTGGGAAGCTGAGGCAGGAGAATCACTTAACCCCAGGAAGCGGAGGTTGTGGTGAGTTTAGATCCTGCCACCGCACTCCAGCCTGGGTGACAAGAGTGAAACTCCATCTCAAGAAAAAAAAAAAAAAAAAAACGTTAAAAAATGTGTTAGTGTTACACTTATTGATCTTTCTACTGTCTCTTTTCTTCCCTGAATTACAGAATAACCCATACTCAGGACTGAAACCTATAATAACAGAACTGTATATAGTTATAGCCCATTTTATAGCACTTTGCTTTATTGTCCTTCAAAGATATTGCATTGTTGACAAATTGAAGGTTTGTGGTAACCCTGTTAGTCTGGAAAGTCTATTGGTGCCATTTTTCCAACAGCATGGGCTCACTTCATGTCTCTGTGTCACATTTTGGTAATTCTTGCAATATTTCCAACTTTTTCATTATCATTATATCTGTTTTAGTGATCTGTGCTCAGTAATCTTTGATGTTACTATTATAATTGTTTGCAGGTGTCATGAGCATAAAAGCCCACAAAAAACAGGGAACTATAAATGTTGTGTGTGTTCTGACTGCTCCACCAACTGACAGTTCCCCCATCTCTTCCCCGCTCCTTGGGCCTCCCTATTCCCTGACATACAACAATATTGAAATTAGGCCAATTAATAACCCTACAATAGCTTCTAAGTGTTCAAGTGAAATAAGTCACAGGTCTCTCACTTTAAATCAAAAGCTAGAAGTGATTAAGCTTAGCAAGGAAGGCATGGTGAATGCCAAGATAGGCCAAAAGCTAGGTCTCTTGTGCCAAACAGCCAAGTGAAAGCAAAGGAAAAGTTTTATTTATTTTTTATTTTTTATTTTTTGAGACGGAGTCTCACTGTGTCACCAGGCTGGAGTGCAGTGGTGCAATTTTGGCTCACTGCAAACTCCGCCTTCTGGGTTCAAGCAATTCGCCCACCTTAGCCTCCCAAGTAGCTGGGACTACAGGTGCCTGCCACCACGCCCAGCTAATTTTTGTATTTTTAGTAAAAACAGGGTTTCACCATGTTGGCCAGGATGATTTCGATCTCTTGACCTCATGATCTGCCTGCCTCGGCCTCCCAAAGTGCTGGGATTACAGGTGTGAGCCACTGCGCCCAGCCTTTTTTTTTTTTTTTAAGACAGAGTCTCGCTCTGTTGCCCAGGCTGGAGTGCAGTGGCACGATCTCAGCTCACTACAACCTCTGCCTCTGGGGTTCAAGCGATTCTCCTGCCTCAGCCTCCCAATAGCTGGGACTACAGGTACCCGCCCCCACATCCAGCTAATTTTTGTATTTTTAGTAGAGACAGGGTTTTACCACATTGGCCAGGCTGCTCTCGAACTCCTGACCTTGTGATCCACCCGCCTCGGCCTAAAGTGCTAGGATTACAGGTGTGAGCCACCGCGCCCGGCCAGGAAAAGTTCTTGAAGGACATTTAAAGTGCTGCTCCAGTGAACACAGAATGATAAGAGAGCAAAACAGCCTTATTGCTGATATGGAGAAAGTTTCAGTGGTCTAGATAGAAGATCAAACCAGCCATAGCATTCCCTTTAGCCAAAGCCTAATCCAGACCAAGGCCCTAACCCTGTTCAATTCTTTGAAGGCTAACAGAGGTAAGGAAGCTCCAGCAGAAAAGCTAGAAGCTAACAGAGGTTGGTTCATGAGGTTTAAGTAAAGAACCGTCTCTATAACATAAAAGTGCAAGGCAAAGCTCTCCCTCTCCCTCTCCCTCTCCCCATGGTCTCCCTCTCCCCACGGTCTCCCTCTCCCCACGGTCTCCCTCTGATGCTGAGCCAAAGCTGGACTGTACTGCTGCCATCTCCACTCACTGCAACCTCCCTGCCTGATTCTCCTGCCTCAGCCTGCCCAGCGCCTGCCATTGCAGGCGCGCGCTGCCACGCCTGACTGGTTTTCGTATTTTTTTGGTGGAGACGGGGTTTCGCTGTGTTGGCCGGGCTGGTCTCCAGCTCCTAACCGTGAGTGATCTGCCAGCCTCAGCCTCCCGAGGTGCCGGGATTGCAGACGGAGTCTCGTTCACTCAGTGCTCAATGTTGCCCAGGCTGGAGTGCAGTGGCGTGATCTCGGCTCGCTACAACCTCCACCTCCCAGCCGCCTGCCTTGGCCTCCCAAAGTGCCGAGATTGCAGCCTCTGCCCGGCCGCCACCCCGTCTGGGAAGTGAGGAGCGTCTCTGCCTGGCCGCCCATTGTCTGGGATGTGAGGAGCCCCTCTTCCCGGCCGCCCAGTCTGGGAAGTGAGGAGCGCCTCTTCCCGGCCGCCATCCCGTCTAGGAAGTGAGGAGCGTCTCTGCCCGGCCGCCCATTGTCTGAGATGTGGGGAGCGCTTCTGCCCCGCCGCCCTGTCTGGGAGGTGAGGAGCGTCTCTGCCCGGCCGCCCCATCTGAGAAGTGAAGAGCCCCTCCGCCCGGCAGCCGCCCCGTCTGAGAAGTGAGGAGCACCTCTGCCCTGCAGCCGCCCCGTCTGAGAAGTGAGGAGCCCCTCCGCCCGGCAGCCGCCCCGTCCGGGAGGGAGGTGGGGGGCGCCTCGGCCCGGCCGCCCCTTCTGGGAAGTGAGGAGCCCCTCTGCCCGGCGGCCACCCCATCTGGGAGGTGTACCCAACAGCTCATTGAGAACGGGCCATGATGACGATGGCGGTTTTGTCGAATAGAAAAGGGGGAAATGTGGGGAAAAGATAGAGAAATCAGATTGTTGCTGTGTCTGTGTAGAAAGAAGTAGACATGGGAGACTCCATTTTGTTCTGTACTAAGAAAAATTCTTCTGCCTTGGGATGCTATTGATCTATGACCTTACCCCCAACCCGGTGCTCTCTGAAACATGTGCTGTGTCCACTCACGGTTAAATGGATTAAGGGCAGTGCAAGATGTGCTTTGTTAAACAGATGCTTGAAGGCAGCATGCTCCTTAAGAGTCATCACCACTCCCTAATCTCAAGTACCCAGGGACACAAACACTGCGGAAGGCCGCAGGGTCCTCTGCCTAGGAAAACCAGAGACCTTTGTTCACTTGTTTATCTGCTGACCTTCCCTCCACTATTGTCCTATGACCCTGCCAAATCCCCCTCTGTGAGAAACACCCAAGAATGATCAATTAAAAAAAAAAAAAAGTGCAAGGCGAAGCAGCAAGTGCTGATGGAGAAGCTGTATCAACTGATTCAGAAGATCTAGCTCAGATAACTGATGAAGGTGGCTACCCTAAACAACACATTTCTAATATAGATGAAACAGGCTTCTATTGGAAGAAGATGCCATCTAGGTATCTCCAAGGCCAGAGAGAAGTCAACGCTTGGCTTCAAAGTTTTAAAGGACAGGCTGACTTTCTTGTTAGGAACTAATGCAGCTGGTGACTTAAAGTTGAAGCCAACGCTCATTTACTGTTCTGAAAGTCCTAGGGTTCTTTTTTTTTTTTTTTTTTTGAGACAGAGTCTTGCTCTGTCACCCAGGCTGGAGTACAGTGGCGCAATCTCAGCTCACTGCAAGCTGCGCCTCCTGGGTTCTCACCATTCTCCTGCCTCAGCCTCCCGAGTAGCTGGGACTACAGGCACCCGCCACCACGCCCGACTAATGTTTTGTATTTTTAGTAGAGACAGGGTTTCACCGTGCTAGCCAGGATGATCTTGATCTCCTGACCTCGTGTTCCACCCGACTCGGCCTCCCAAAGTGCTGGGATTACAGGCGTGAGCCACCGCACTCAGCCAATAAAACATTTTTTTGAGACAAAGTCTCACTATGTTGCCCAGGCTGGGAGTGCAGTAGCTATTCACAGGCACAGTCAAGTACACTATGGCCTTGAACTCCTGGGCTCAAGTGATCCTCCTGCCTCAGCCTCCTAAGTAGCTGGAACTACAGGTGCATGCCACTGTGCCCAGCTTTTTGTATGTGTGGGGAAATATAACTTTTTTTTTTTTTTTTTGCGACAAGAGTCTTGCTCTGTTGCCCAGGCTGGAGTGCAGTGGCATGATCTCGGCTCACTGCAACCTCCGCCTCCCAGGTTCAAGCAATTCTCAGGCCTCAGCCTCTCGAGTAGCTGGGATTACAGGTGCACCGCCACACCTGGCTAATTTTTGTATTTTTAGTAGAGGTGGGGTTTTACCATGTTGGCCAGGCTGGTCTCAAACTCCTGATCTCTGGTGATCTGCCTGCCTCGGCCTCCCAAAGTGCTGGGATTACAGGCATGAGCCACCGTGTCCAGCCCATAACTTTTTTTTTTTTTTTGAGATAGAGTCTTGCTCTGTCGCCTAGGCTGGAGTGTAGTGGCGTGATCTCGGCTCACTGCAACTTCCGCCTCCCGGGTTCAAGCGATTCTCCTGCCTCAGCCTCCCCAGCAGCTGGGACTACAGGCGCGCGCCACCACACCCAGCTAATTTTTGTATTTTCAGTAGAGACGGGGTTTTACCATATTGGCCAGGCTGGTCTCGAACTCCTGACCTCGTGATCCACCCACCTCGGCCTCCCAAAGTGCTGGGATTACAGGTGTGAGCCACTGCACCTCGCCGCATAACTTTTATATGCACTGGGAAACCAAAAAATTTGTGTGACTCACTTTACTGCAATATTTGCTTTATTGCAGTGGTCTAGAACCAAACCTGCAATCTCTTCAAGGTATGACTAACTTTGAAAGGTCAAAAAATGTTCCCCAATTAAGTCTACAATAGATACACTGGCTGGTAGCTCAAAGGTGGCCTGTTGTCAGCAGCCAGGGCCTGAAGCATCTCACTAATGGCCTGAAGCAGACATGGGAGAGGAGGAGCAACCCCTTTGCAGCTGTGCAAGCAGCAGGCTGGACAGGATGAGGGGGTGGCACTAGGGCTAAGGGGTGTGAATAGCTCAAACTCCAGCTCGGTGTGTGGACAGTTTCTGGTTGAGCTGTACTTTGAATCGATTGGTGTCTTGTCCTGTGCTTTGCTCTACAGTGGCAGATTCCAGCCTCTGCCTGTACATGGATGGAGGGAGAAGCGAGTCTGAAATGTGCCCAACTCCCTTCACAGCCTGTGAACCAGGGGAGCTGTGATAACAGCCTCTAAATACCCCAGGGTGGAGATGCCAGGGCTGGCTACTCCTCGGCAAAAGTGTGTAAGTAAGCAGTGTTGCTATGCAAGGAAACGTACTCAGAGAAATATTAGCCTGAATGTCAAGTTTTCCTACAGTGAATTCAATGAGGCAGTGAAGTCAGCTTCCCTTGGGGGAAGAGGGTAGTAGGAGGGAGTGCCAGCTCCCAAGACATAAAGAGAAATTTGGAGGATTTTGCTGGAAAGAGGAGACCAACATGCAATGCAGGGGAATTCTTGGGTACCGAGAGAAGGTTAGTACTACAATGATGTTGGGTACGGTAAGAGAAGGAATTGGGAGAAGGTAAAGAAAAGTATCTTTTTCAGAGGGAAACATAGGAGGTACAGGCTCACTGTAGTGCTTCCCTTTTTAGCCTTTGGTTTTTCCAATCCCTAGGAAATGTAAGGACATACTTTATCATTGAGCTAATCCCACCCATGGGTCTTAAAAATGGTTCTGTAAAAATAGAAGTGACACTGGGCGTGGTGTTTCATGCCTAGCACTTTGGGAGGCTGAGGCAGGAAGATCACCTGAGGTCAGGAGTTCGAGACCGGCCTGGCCAACATGGCAAAACCTTGTCTCTACTAAAAATAAAAAATTAGCCAGGCATGGTGGCGCACACCTGTATTTGCAGCTACTCGGGGGGCTGGGGCAGGAGAATCGCTTGAACCTGGGAGGTAGAGGTTGCAGTGAGCCGAGATCGTGCCATTGCACTGTGGCCTGGGCGACAGAGCGAGACTCTGTCTCAAAAAAACAAAAACAGCAACAACAACAAAAAACTTGAACCAGTGATGCACTGAAGTGAAAGATGCAAATTTCACACAGCAGGTCTTCAGTTTATAAGGGCTATCAAGGCTGTTTCCTCCTAAGCACAATGTCTGTGATTCGGGTAACTTACAGGAAACATGTAATGGGGTCAAGATTTGGCCCTGCTGCCTCCATGGTAAGACATACCTAGTTATGAATAACTAAAAGGAAAAAAAAAAGAGAAGGAAATTAATACATAATACCTTTACACTCTATACATGCTGTAATTCTTAATCCATAGCTACTATTTCATGAAATTATTCAGTAAGTTACTCTCACTCCTTAAAGGTGAGTAATACATTTTATACGTTTTTATCTTCAAAATTTCAGTGACTAGTACCCACATAAATGCAAGTCAATAACTTAACATACAATAGTTTACTTAAAAATTTAGCACAACATACCAAAATATGAGATGCAGCTAGTGCGGTGCTTAGATGGAAATTTATAGCTATAAATGCCTCCATTAAAAAAGAACAAGCTCAAACCAATAACTTAACCTTCCCCCTTAAAACAGAGAAAAAAGAAGAGTGAAGTAAACCTAAAACAAGCAGCAGAAGAAAAAATAAAGATTAGAATGGAGATTAATGCAATCGAACATAGAAAAACGGGCTGGGCGCAGTGGCTCACGCCTGTAGTCCCAGCACTTTGGGAGGCCAAGGCGGGTGAATCACGAGGTCAGGAGATGGAGACCATCCTGGCCAACATGGTGAAACCCCGTCTCTACTAAAAATACAAAACAATTAGCCGGGCGTGGTGGCGGGGGAGCCTGTAGTCCCAGCTACTCTGGAAGGCTGAGGCAGGAGAATCGCTTGAACTCAGGAGGCGGAGCTTGCAGTGAGCTGAGATTGCGCCACAGCACTCCAGCCTGGGCGACAGAGCGAGACTCCATCTCAAAAACAAACAAACAAAAAAAAGGTAGAAAAAGGCCAGTCGCAGTAGCTCGTTCCTGTAATTGCAACACTTTGGGAAGCCAAGGTGGGAGGATCGCTTGAGTCCAGGTATTAGAGACCAGCCTGGGCAACATGGTGAGATCCTGTTTCTACAAAAAAAATTAAAAATTAGCTAGGTGTGGTCCGGTGCAGTGGCTCATGCCTGTAATCCCAGCACTTTGGGAGGCTGAGACAGGCGGATCACTTGAGGCCAGGAGTTGGAGACCAGCCTGGCCAACATAGTGAAACCTTGTCTCTACTAAAAATACAAAAAATTAGCTGGGCGTGGTGGCATACACCTGTAATCTCAGCTACTCAGGAGGCTGAAAATTGCTTGAACCTGGAAGGCTGAGGTTGCAGTGAGCCGAGATTGTGCCACTGTACTTTAGCCTGGGCAACAGAGTGAGACTCTGTCTCAAAAACAAACAAACAAACAAGCAAAAAACCACAAAACAGCCAAGTGTTGTGATGTGCGCCTGTCGTCCCAGCTACTTGGGAGGCTGAGCGGGGAGGATCACTCGAGCATAGGAGCTCGAGACTGCGGTGAGCCATGATTGTGCCACTGCACTCCAGCCTGGGCAACAGAGTGAGAGCCTGTCTCAAACAAACAAAGAAAATAGAAAAAAAAATAGAGAAAAGAAAATAACAGAGAACATCAATGAAACCAAAAGCTGTTTTTTTAAAAAGATGAACAAAATTAACAAACTTTCAGCTAGAATAACCAAGAAAAAGACAAGACTCAAATTACTAAATTCAGAAATGAAAGAGGGGTCATGACTACCGACCTTGCTGAAGTAGAAAGGATCATAGGGAACACTATGAATAACCGTACACCAACACATTCGATCACTGAGAGGAAAGGAACAGATTCCTAGAAAGACAACTACCAAAACTACCAAAATGGACTCACATAAAAATCTAAAGAGACCTAGAACAAGTAATTATATATATATATATTGAGACAGGGTCTCACTCTCACCCAGGCTGGAGTGCAGTGGTGTGATCAGAGCTCACTGCAACCTGAAACTCCTGGGCTCAAGTGACCCTCCTACCTTAGCCTCCTGAGTATCTGGGACTACAGGTGTGCACTACTATATCTGGCCAAGTTTTAATTATTTCTGTAGAGACGGGGGTCTCCCTATGTTGCCCAGGCTGGTCTCTAATGCCTGGCCTCAAGTGATCCTTCTGCCTCAACCTCTCAAAATGTTGGGAATACAGGCGTGAGCCACTGTACCTGGCTCTGAGATTTAATTAGTAATCAAAAAACACCCCACAGGCTGGGTGCACTTTGGGAGGCTGGGGTGGGTGGATCACCTGAGGTCAGGAGTTCGAGACCAGCCTGGCCAACATGGTGAAACCCCATCTCTACTAAAAATACAAAAATTAGCCGAGGGTGGTGGTGGGCACCTGTAATCCCAGCTACTTGGGAGGCTGAGGCAGGAGAATCGCTTGAACCGGGGAGGCAGAGATTGCAGTGAGCCGAGATTGCACCACTGCACTCCAGCCTGGGTGACAAAGCAAGACTCCGTCTCAGAAAAAACAAAAAAACAAAAAAACACCCCACAAAGAAAAGCTGAAGTCCAGCTAGCTTTCCTGGTGAGTCCTACCAAGCAATAGCAAACAGACCAGTAGTACCTTGATACTGAAACCAGACAAAGGTATCACAAAAAAGGAAATACAGATCAATATCTCTCAGCCATATGGACACAAAGTACTAGTAAACCAAATTCAGCTGCATATTAAAGGGATTATACACCAGGCTACTCTGCCTAGGGAGTAGCCCTGCTCTGCAGAAGCAGCCAAAAATATATAAATAAATACATATATTGTAGCAGGACGAGCCGCAGACACAACTCCTCAGACACCGGATTAAAGAAGGAAGAGGTTTTTTATTCGGCCAGGAGCGTTGGCAGACTCGCGTCGTTTAAGAGCCGAGCTCCCTGAAGACAGAGTTCCTGGCCCTTTTAAGGGCTTACAACTCTAAGGAGTTCCACGTGAAAGGGTCGTGATTGATTGAGAGCACATGTGGTTAGAGTGGGGGAGTTAATCTTTTAACCTCAGGTCAGGTCATCAGTGGCACCGGCTGGTCTTGCCACTGACTTCATTCCTGTTGTTTTTCAACTTTTACTTCCTCCTCCTCTTCAGAGACAGGAGACAGTCAGAGAAATGGCTTCTCTCCTCAATATTATACACCACAACCAAGTAGGATTTATTCCTAATACAAGGTTGGTTTAACATCCAAAAATCAACTAATGTAATACATCATATCAATAAGATAAAAGACAAAAACCATATGATCATCTTAATAGATGCAGAAAATGTATTATACAAAATCCATTATTGATGATAAAATCTTGGTAAACTAGAAATAAGAAAGAACTTTTTCAAGCTGATAAAGGCCATCTGTGAAAAACCCACAGTTAACATCAGACTTAATGGTGAAAGATGGAATGCTTTCCCGCTAAGATCAGGAACAAGACAAGGATGTCTGTTCTAGCCACTTCCGTTCAATATTGAACTGAGTTCTAGCCGGGGCAGTTAGGCAAGAAAATGAAAGAAAAGGCGTCCAGATTGGAAAGGAGGAAGTCAAGAAAATTTACATTCTAAATTATATTCTCAATATAGGTGTTATGGAATGAATGAACTGTGTCCCACAAAAGATACGTTGAAGTCCTGAGGTCCTAACCCCCAGTACCTAAGACTCTGACCTTATTCGGAAATAGGGTCATTGCAGATGTAATTAGTTAAGATGAGGTCATGCGGGAGTAGAGTGGTCCTTAATCCAGTATGACTATCCTTATAAGAAGAGGAGAAGATGGCTAGGCGTGGTGGCTCACGCCTGCAATCCCAACACTTTGGGAGGCCAAGGCAGCCAGATCACCTGAGGTCAAGAGTTGGAGACCAGCCTGGTCAACATGGTGAAACCCCGTCTCTACTAAGAATACAAAAAATAGCCGGGTGTGGTGGTGGGTACCTGTAATCCCAGCTACTTGAGAGGCTGAGGCAGGAAAATTGCTTGAACACAGGAGGTGGGGGTTGCAGTGAGCTGAGATGGTGCCACTGTACTCCAGCCTGGGCGACAGAGCAAGACTCTGTCTCAAAAAGAAGGAAAAAAAAAAGAAGAAGAAGAAGAAGAGGAGAAGACATACAGTGAGAATGCCATGTGATAAAGGAGGCAGAGATTGGAGTGATCCACCCACAAACTAAAGAGCAACACCAGGCCAGGTGCGGTGGCTCACGCCTATAATCCCAGCACTTTGAGAGGCCAAGGCGGGTGGATCACCTGAGGTCAGGAGTTCGAGACCAGCCTGGCCAACATGGTGAAACCCCGTCTCTACTAAAAATACAAAAATTATCCAGGCTTGGTGGTAGGCGCCTGTAGTCCCAGCTACTCAGGAGGCTGAGGCAGGAGAATCACTTCAGCCCGAGAGGCGGATGTTGCAGTGAGCTAAGATCACGCTATTGCACTCCAGCTTGGGGGACAAGAGCGAGACTTTGTCTCAAAAAAAAAAAAAAAAAAAAAAAAAAGCAACACCAGAAGCTAAGAAAAGGCATGCAAGAAATTCTCCACTAGAGTTTTGAGAGAATGTGGCCCTGCCAACACCTTGATTTCAGACTGCCAGCCTCTAGAACTGTGGGAAAATGAATTTCTGCTGTCTTAGGCCAACCCGTTAGTGGTAATTTGTTCTGGTAAATTGTATTTTTAGTAGAGATGGGGTTTTACCACGTTGGCCAGGATGGTCTCAAACTTCTGACCTCAGGCTATGAGCCACCGCAACCGGTCTGTGACAGATTCTGTTTGGATGTTTACCCAAATCTACCCCCATTTCTTCTCCAATAAATGGAGCTCCAGTTTTGCTTAGGAGTCTACTTGCAAGAGAAGATGACCCCCTCCTTAGCTCAATGGTAATCCTGACTAGACCCTGTCAGCCTGGCAATCACCTTCCTTTTGCCAAAGACTGGCTTAGGGATGGGCAAGTGAGGGGACCCTGCTGGTGAGCTTCTGGCAATGATTTTCTCCCTCTTCATAAGAGATATCTTCTTCTTCCACTGCACACTGTCACGTCTCACCTTGCAGCTGGGACTGTAGTAGCTTCTCATGATCAGGAGGAGACCCAAGGTAAAATCTGAGGTCATGAAGATGGATATGTACAGGTAGGAAAACCAGTTGGAAGGTTTTACAGGTGAGAGATCCAGGTGAAAGATGGTGTCTTGGCCAGCGTGGTGAAGATGGAGGTGGTGGGAAGATGCTGGAATATTTCGAAGATAGTGTTTTGTATAGTATATATTTTGAAGAAAGTGTTTAAAGGATTTAGAGGCTGGATGCAGAGTGTAAGAGAAAAACATGAGTTAAGAAATACTGGATGGGGGTGGTGCCTCATACCTGTAATCCTAGCACTTTGGGAAGCCGAGGCAGGAGGATCACTTGAGTCCATGAGTTTGAGACCAACCTGGGCAACATAGTGGGACACCATTTCTAAAAACAAACAAAAAGTTAGGCAGGCGTGGTGGCGCACACCTGTGGTCCCAGCTACTTGGGAGGCTGACGTGGGAGGATCTCTTGAACCTGGGATGCTGAGGCTGCAGTGAGCTGTGGTTGCACCATTGCACTCCAGCCTGAGCAAGACCTTGTCTCCAAAAAAAAAAAGAAAAAGAAAAAAGAAAAGAAATACTCAAAGGTTTCAGCTTGAGAGCCTGGAAGGAGGTGTTTTCACTGAGATGGGAAAGGCAATGGGAGGAGCAACATCTGCAAGGAATTGAAGTTCAGTCTGCACAGTTAAGTGTGAGATGCCACCTCCAGGCGGAGAAGTTGAATAGGCAGTTAGATATGCTGGAGTAGAGCAGAGAGGTCCACACCAGAGACATGAATTCAGGCTGTTAAACATGCTGGAGTACAGCAGAGAGGTCCACACCAGAGACATGAACTTCAGTGCTGCCAGCATGCAGATGGCATTAAAGACTTGAGACTAAATGAAGTCACTCACAGAGTGAGGATAGAAAAGAGAAAGGACTGAGCAGGAGCTCCCGTGTGGATGAAGAGAAAGAGCCCCTCTGCACAAAAACATAAGAACAAAACACAAATATATAAGGTCACTACAGTATCTAACTTTTCATTCAATAACTGCTAGGAGTAATAATAATAATAATAGCTTACTATGTGCCACGCCTTTGTAGATATATTTTCTAATTTAATCCTCACAAAACCGCATTAGCAATTTTAAAATACCAATTAAATCATTTAATGCTACCACGACACAAGCCAAAATAAATAAAAATAAAACCCAGTTTGGGGGGGCTGTGGGAAAATAGACCCCTGAAGCACAGCTGGTGACACTTTAACCAGAGAGGAATGTGGCAGCAATATAACAAGGGTTCAAAACTCAGCATACCTTTTAAAGGAGAAAGAACTGTGATATGTGTTCACTGTAGCTCTGTGACATGTTCACTGTAGCTCTGTCAACAAGCATAGACCAACAGCGGTGGCTCACGCCTGTAATTTCAGCATTTCAGGAGGCCGAGGTGGGAGGATCACTTGAGGTCAGGAGTTTGAGACCAGCCTGGCCAACATGGTGAAACCCTGTCTCTACTAAAAATACAAAAATTAGCTGGGCATGGTGGCGTGCATCTGTAGTCCAAGGTACTTGGGAGGCTGAGACAGGAGGATCCCTTGAACCTGGGAGGCAGAGGTTGCAGTGAGCCGAGATTGCGCTATTGCACTCCAGCTTGGGCGACAAGAGTGAAACTCAGTTTCAAAAAAAAAAAAGAAGCATAAAAAACTGGAAAGACCCCAGCCGGGTATGGTGGCTCACGCCTGTAATCCCAGCACTTTGGGGACTCTGTCCCCCACCCCAAAAAAAGAGGAGAAATGTTCAACTATCATAGGGTAGTATATTAACAGGGAATAAGGCTTAAATGGTGGCTAGAAGAACTAAATGAAGGCCGAGTGGCAGCTAATTTGAAGCCAGCAATTCTATGTTTAGAAGGACATTGTTCCTTAACATACATTATTGATTTCTAGTTTCCACTGTACTTTATGCATGGCTCCTACCCAAGTTCTTTCTCTGTGAAGCTTAATGTTATTTTAAAAAATTATTTATTTATTTATTTATTGTAGACAGAGTCTCGCTCTGTCACCCAGGCTGGAGTGCAATGGTGTGATCTTCACTCACTGCAACCTCTGCCTCCCAGGTTCAAATGATTCTCCCGTCTCAGCCTCCTGAGTAGCTTGGATTACAGGTGCCTGCCATCATGGCTGGCTAATTTTTGTGTTTTTAGTAGAAACAGGGTTTCACCATATTGGCCAGACTGGTCTTGAACTCCTGACCTCATGATCTGCCCACCTCGGCCTCCCAAAGTGCTGGGATTACAGGCGTGAGCCACCGCGCCCAGCCAATGTTACTTTTTTAATGGAGCCATGTGAGGGGAAGAGGCACTGTAGGGTAAGGAAGGGGATTAAAGATGTAGCACTCAGGCTACTAAACAATGCATTGCCAGGCCCTTTCTCCTCTGCCTGAAACGTGTAGCCTTTCCTCTCTGAAATTTTCACACCTCCTTCAAAGACCAGATCAGATGATATTTCATACACAGAGCCACCTCCAATCTGCTAGTCAGACTGGATCCCTGCCCTGTGTTCCTGTGGTACTTTTGATCCTGCTGTTATGGAATTTTATGTATTGTTCTAAAATTAACTGTGGACATGCCTTCTTTCCTCCATGTCAGGAGTGTGCTTAATTATTTTTGTCTGTCAAATATCAATATAGTGCCTGGCAAATTATAGGTGCGTGATAAAGGCTTGATGACTGATTGGATCCCTTGTAGATTCATTGTAGATTCATTGACTCATTTATTCCTTACAGATTCCTTAATTGCCTGCTAGGGAATAAGTTTTGGGACTATTCCATCTGGACTCTCCAGATCAGTCTAACCTGTCCAGTTCAATGCAGCATCTCTGAACTGGGAGCATAGGGAAGCAAACAGGACTCTTGTTTATGTTTCTTGAGAAAAGACTTAAAAATAAGGCAGGAGGCAGAGGATATAATGTTAGCATCTAGGAAAAAAGGAGATCAGATTCCATTCTTACATGACCTTCCTTCTCTAGACAGTCCTGTCATTCTTTCTAGCTTCCCATCTTGAGATCTGCTCAGCAACTAGACAGAAGAGATGGAAGCAGAATGAGAAGAAGGATTCATACCTTGTCTTATGGTGGAGTCTAGATGAAAACATGGCCGGTGGCCGGGCGCAGTGGCTCATGCCTGTAATCCCAGCGCTTTGGGAGGCTGAGGCAGGTGGGTCGCTTGCACCCAGGAGTTCAAGACCAGCCTGGGCAACATGGTAAAACCCCATCTCTACTAAAAATACAAAAAAAAAAACATTAGCCAGGCGTGGTGGCATGCACCTGTAATCCCAGCTACTTGGGAGGCTGAGGTGGGAGAATCACTTGAACCCAGAAAGTGGAGGTTGCAGTGAGCCGAGATTACGCCGTTGCACTCCAGCCTGGGCAACAGAGCGAAACTCCGTCTCAAAAAAAAAAAATATGACACATACTAGCCCACTGAAAACAATAGCTGAGCTAAGTGCCCCTGCTGACAGAAGGAACACATGCAAATAGGCTCATGCTCTATAAGGACACTGAGGAGAAGGGAGAAGATCACTTGGAGTGAGCTTCTGAGTGTTACATAGAACAATAAATGCAATAATTTAGGAACGATAATGCGTTGTCTTAGTTAATGTGCTTATCCCTATTTGGAATTATATTATCTACATGGACATTTCTTTCCCACTATTATCCCCCCCAACAGAATGTCAGCACCATGAGAGCAGGAACTATATGTGTCTTATGTCCCCCAGGGTCTTGAAAAAGCCTACTAGGTGCTAGTAGTAGCCAAATAGTAGTTCAGTAAATATCTGAATACATTTTTATTTTATTTTATTTTATTTGAGATGAAGTCTTGCTCTGTCATCAGGCTGGAGAGCAGTGGTGCAATCTCAGCTCACTGCAAGCTCTGCCCCCCGGGTTCAAGTAATTCTCCTGCCTCAGCCTCCCTTACAGGCATGCACCTCCACGCCCAGCTAATTTTTTTTTTTTTTTTGGATTTTTAGTAGAGAGGGTTTCACCATGTTGGCCAGGATGGTCTCAATCTCTTGATCTTGTGACCCACCTGCCTTGGCCTCCCAAAGTGCTGGGATTACAGGCGTGAGCCACTGCGCCTGGTCTACACTTTTATTTTTTATTTTTTGAGACAGGGTCTCATTCCTGTCACCCAGGCTGGAGTGCAGTGGCGTGATCACGGTTCACTGCAGGCTCGATTTCCTGGGCTCAAGCAATCGATCCTCCCACTTCAGCCTCCCTAGTAGCTGGGACTACAGGTGTGTGTCACCACACCTGGCTAGTTTTTTTTTTGTGTGTGTGTTTTTAGTAGAGATGGGGTCTCTACTCTCTATTTTTAGTAGAGAGGCCGGTCTCAAACTCCTGGGCTCAGGTGATACACCCACCTCGGCCTCCCAAAGTGCTAGGATTACAGGAGTGAGCCACTGTACCTGGCCTACATTTTTAAAAAGTATAAGCTACTAACTTTCTAACTACTACTATACAACTAATTTTCCATGCATTAAAAAAGAAATGAGAAGGAAGGACCAAGCATTTGAGTTCATCTACATCAATAGAATTTGATTAGCAAAATAATAGAAAATAATTTTAAGCTGTAACATATGCAATGTATGACATGAGTTCACACGATGAAGGGAAGGGATGTCATAGGTGCGATTGTTCACTATCATTTTCCCTGCAGAATTAAGAACAGAATTTGACATGAAGGTTATGAGTACACAGATTTGCATCTTGGCAGGCCAGTGTATCACCTCTTAAACAACAGTTGTACCTAGACGGAGGGGTGAGGCAAACCTGTCCCATGTCCTTTCTGTGAGATGCCATCCTGATCTCCTCACCTCAAGTAAGCCAGCTCCCTTGTCCAGGAGGAACCACCCACCCAGGCTTACACCTGGTGTGGGTTGTGGGGGTGCTGACACCACCCGCTTATTTGAACCTTGTTTCTGTTCTGTTTCCTTTTGTTCAGCTTACACCTCCACAGCAGACCTAGTTTCCTCCCTGTAGTGGTGTTCCCAGTTAAGGGAAATGGTGTCACTGTGCCCCGCGGCTCCTCTTTGAATTAAAGCATCTTGGTTTCAACCATCTCTGCTAGAAATGGTTATGTGCTTGGCTTTCCTAACTAGCTGGACTCCTGGTCTGTGCTGCCTGGCAGCACTCACTGACTTACACCAACAACCAGGTTGGTGACCACACAACTGCCCAAAGCAAAACTTTTTTAAAGAATTGAAGAGTCCTACGTGATAAATATATGTAAAAAACACAGCTTACTCCTATACCCAGCTAGCCTTCTGCCTCATACATTTGTGTGTGTGTGTGTGTGTGTGTGTGTGTGTGTGTGTGTGTGTATGTATTTAGCATGCATGCTCCCCAACACTGCACCTTCCCTGGGTGGGGTCTGGGCAGTCTGCCAAGACCTCTGGCTTATCTGATGCCAGGCATCCTGCCCAGGCCTCTCTGGGAGGCAGGGATTCACTCGGTGGTCCCGTCTACAGCAGGAGCGGTGAGCAAGTGCTGGATTATGGGTTCTGCCTCATCTTGTTCAATCTCATAATAAAGGCTGCCTGTTTTGCCTCTGCCTGTTCTTACCTGGCCAGTCCAGTCCTGCCTGCTATTCGTCCTGGTATTCCTGCTACACACTTGCTTGGCAGAGCTTGAAGCCTGTTGGCTCTGGACCAGGTCCTGTTCATCTGCCCCTCCCAAGCCCACACAATAGAGAATATGATCCCCCGACTCAAAACCATTCAGGGGATTAGGACACATGGGATGCAGGAATGGCAATCACCAGCTCCACTCTGGAAGATATGTGTGGAAAGACTATGGAGTCAGCCTAACCTTGCATGTTTCAAATCTCAGGACACCATAGAGCAGCTTTGTGATTTGAACAAATCATGCAACCTCATAGGGCCTCAGTTTCCTCATTTGTACCATAGAGATGATACAGTAAAACTCCAGCATGGCGTGATGAGTGGGCAGGAGCGGTCAATCTTATAAAATGCAAGGGTGCATTAGTGAGAAATGTATGTCATGATTTGGGTTTCCAGGGTTCTGGCTATGCAAGTTAAATCCTTCCCAGGCTCAGCTGTGGTTTACAGCCACCTGGGCATTGTTTACTCCAGTTTAAATATTGATGGCAACAAGCATGGGTCCTGTGGCTGACTAAAGTGCCCAGGACAGCAGAGGAATTATTCCAGGAATCTCCTAGTTACCTGCCACCTTGTTTTTTGGATCCAGGGAAATGTGGCTGAGCAAATGCAGAGGAAATGGGGACTCACTCTGCTTCTCCTCTCCCCAAAAGTGAGTTGCAGTCCTCCCCCTTCGTGTTGGTAGAAATTTTAGCTCATTCCCATAGAAGCTGGGGGAAGGCAAGGAACTGGGAATCAAATAACAATTGCATGACTATCTGGATTTGCTTTATTGAAGAGTCTTACTTTAATGCCTATCCTATTAGTGTTGTTGTAAAGATTAAGGATGATATATGAACATGTCATAGTGCTTAGCACATAGTATTTGCTCATTAAATGGTAATAATGTCACAAATGTTTTTAAGCACGTACTGAGCCCTGGGCACTATACTGGGTGTAATAACCATAGCAGTGACTGTGACACATATTGTTCCTTCTCTTTTGAAGCACAATAGTTTAGCAGAAGTCACAGCTTGGAGCAGTGCCCTGGAACCTGTGAAGGTTAAGCTATCACTATATTTTTTTCTAAAACACCATTTTTCCCTAAATACTTGAAAACACTTAAGGTCTTATATGTATGTTTTGGAACAGAATACTTCACCCCCTTCTCTAAAGCAGTGGTTCTCAAGAGGGGTTGATTTTCATCTCCCAGGGGACATTTGGCGATGTCTAGAGACATTTTTTATAGTCATAAGTTGCATATGTGTGTGTGTGGACGTGCACTCCTGGCATCTAGTTGAGTGGAGGCCAGCGATGCTGCTAAACATCCTGCAATGCCCAGGTCAGCCCCTACAACAAAGACTTACCTGACCCAAAGTTTCAAGTGTCAAGGCTGAGAAACCGTGGTCTAGAAGGTACGTGCTTAGTCCACAGTCATTTATTTTTGGCTGCCAAGGCAGAGAAACACCTTTTACTCTTAAAGTCTTAGAAAGCCTGGCTTTTATATTCTGTGTTCCATGACACTTGCCCATGTTCGAGGAGAGGGTGGACAAAGCTATCCTAACTTCTGGATTCAGAAACACATTCCTCTCAGGGCAGAGAAAATTGACCTGCGAGTGATTGCTTCAGAGTTTTCAGCACTCCAACATAATTCTTTTGGTGAAGGTGATATTTAACTGATTCTCTTATATAAATAAGTTGTTCAAACAAAAAGCTCCTGGAAAAGATCTTGCCTTCTTTACCCTTTGAAAACCCTACCAAGATATGCAAATGAACCACATCATCTCCAGGTCACTGAACCTGTCTTCAGCTCATTTGGCCTTCTTTCTTTTCTTTTTAAAGTGTTTTCAAAGTTTGCTTGGGCATAATTAATCCAATTTGGTCTTTGGGGCAGCCCAGATTTCAGAGTAATGGGGTTCAGGGCACACATGTGCAGCAGGGCAATCAGATTTTGGACAAAGCAGAGGATGAGGAAGAGTGAAGCAAAATAGAACAACATCAGGAAGGGGTGCATGTAGCACAGAGAGAGGGAGAGAGAGAGAGAGGACACCAAAGAAGCAGGGAACTAACCAACACAGAAAAATCAAAACCACCAGAATGGCCAGTCCTCTGCTCAGCTTCATGCACCCTGGTTCCCCACCTCGACTTACTTCTTTGCCTCCTGCTCCGCTTCCCAGAAGCACTTCGGTGGATTTGAGCCTACTTCCTCTCTTCTACCTTCTGGGTAGTGGGAGAGTGCCTCTCTCATAGCTGGGTTCTGAAGCAGAATCCTGTCTTGTAGCAGCATTCCCCTCTGAAGGAAAGCGAGGAGGTGTATATAAAATTCATGATATTAGGTTCGTGCAAAAGTAATTGCGGTTTTTGCCGTTAAAAATGGCAAAAACCACAATTATTTTTGCACTAACCTAATAATTTTGGCATGCTCACTTTATCATAGGGGATTATCAGCAAATATGTACTGTTATTGTTGTTGATGAAGCTTGGATAGCCACTAGTTAGTGCCAGACACAAGATGTATGAATCGTCTCTCCACACTTTGGTTGGATGGTGATTCAAACTGTGACATGAACCTTTTGAACTCTATTTTGTGCCCTGTTGGCAAAACAAGCTACATCCTTTTCTTAGAAATGAGATTTGATTTTTAAATATGCAACATCTGATCTGAAATGTGCAAAACATTTTTTTCTATTGCAGTCTTTTACTTGGAACTTGTTGCAGATGTCAAATGTGGTATTACAGAATCTTATTATATTACAGATAGAACAATTTTTTTTTTTTTTAAATTGATCATTCTTGGCTGTTTCTCGCAGAGGGGGATTTGGCAGGGTCACAGGACAATAGTGGAGGGAAGGTCAGCAGATAAACAAGTGAACAAAGGTCTCTGGTTTTCCTAGGCAGAGGACCCTGCGGCCTTCCGCAGTGTTTGTGTCCCTGGGTACTTGAGATTAGGGAGTGGTGATGACTCTTAAGGAGCATGCTGCCTTCAAGCATCTGTTTAACAAAGCACATCTTGCACTGCCCTTAATCCATTCAACCCTGAGTGGACACAGCACATGTTTCAGAGAGCACAGGGTTGGGGGTAAGGTCACCAATCAACAGGATCCCAAGGCAGAAGAATTTTTCTTAGTACAGAACAAAATGAAAAGTCTCCCATGTCTACCTCTTTCTACACAGACACGGCAACCATCCGATTTCTCAATCTTTCCCCCCTTTCTATTCCACAAAACCGCCATTGTCATCCTGGCCCGTTCTCATTGAGCTGTTGGGTACACCTCCCAGACGGGGTGGTGGCCGGGCAGAGGGGCTCCTCACTTCCCAGTAGGGGCGGCCGGGCAGAGGGGCCCCTCACCTCCCGGACGGGGCGGCTGGCCGGGTGGGGGGCTGACCCCCCCACCTCCCTCCTGGACGGGGCGGCTGGCCGGGCAGAGGGGCTCCTCACTTCCCAGTAGGGGCGGCCGGGCAGAGGCACCCCTCACCTGCCGGACAGGGCAGCTGGTCGGGCGGGGGGCTGACCCCCCCACCTCCCTCCCGGACGAGGTGGCTGCTGGGCGGAGACGCTCCTCACTTCTCAGACCGGGCGGTTGCCAGGCAGAGGGTCTCCTCACTTCTCAGACGGGGCAGCCGGGCAGAGACGCTCCTCACATCCCGGACGGGGCGGCAGGGCAGAGGTGCTCCCCACATCTCAGACGATGGGCGACCGGGCAGAGAGGCTCCTCACTTCCCAGATGTGATGGCGGCCGGGAAGAGGCGCTCCTCACTTCCTAGATGGGATGGCGGCCGGGCAGAGACGCTCCTCACTTTCCAGACTGGGCAGCCAGGCAGAGGGGCTCCTCACATCCCGGACGATGGGCGGCCAGGCGGAGACGCTCCTCACTTCCCAGACGGGGTGGCGGCCGGGCAGAGGCTGCAATCTCGGCACTTTGGGGGGCCAAGGCAGGCTGCTGGGAGGTGGAGGTTGTAGCGAGCCGAGATCACGCCACTGCACTCCAGCCTGGGCACCATTGAGCACTGAGTGAACGAGACTCCGTCTGCAATCCCGGCACCTCGGGAGGCCGAGGCTGGCGGATCACTCGCGGTTAGGAGCTGGAGACCAGCCCGGCCAACACAGCGAAACCCCGTCTCCACCAAAAAAATACGAAAACCAGTCAGGCGTGGCGGCGCGCGCCTGCAATAGCAGGCACTCGGCAAGCTGAGGCAGGAGAATCAGGCAGGGAGGTTGCAGTGAGCTGAGATGGCAGCAGTACCGTCCAGCTTCGGCAAGGGAGAGGGGAGAGGGGGATAGAACGATTTCTGAGGCCATCAACAGATGTTATGCCTGCATAAGAAAATCATCCACAATGGAAAGTCACAAGTTCATAAAAGTCATTTGTAGTATCTGTGGTTAATAGGATTTTATCTGTGTTCTATGAAGCACTACTCTTTTTAAAAATGTTTTTGCTGGTTGATGCCAAGTGTTCTGCAGGTCTTCCCTAAAAGAAACAAGAATTTAATAAAACCATCCTGAAACAATATTTCATTTTATCCCAAACCTTAACGGCTATGCACACATCTTGACCAAAGTACCTTGCCTTCTCTTGAATTTCTCTAACTTTGGTTTTGAATTCAACTCTTAGGGATCCATTGAGTTTCTCCTGGCTTCCTTCAAACATATTTAATAAACTGCCCACTGCCTTGCACATAGTATGTGTTCAGTGTTTGTTAGAACAACAAGAAGGGTTTTGCAAAATGGAATATCAATACTTTATGCAACTGACTGTCAACTGGGTTTCCACCGATGGCCTTTTCTTGTTCCCTGCCCTCATCTGAGCATTACCAGGACTGAGGAATCTCTCATCAGGCCAGTGTCCCTCCAATTCTGATGGAGTCTGGATTGTGCTGGAAAGTGAAGGAGAATTATCGCCATGGTCTTCCTCAGCAGCTCAGACGTTTCTCAGTCAGCATGTATGCTCTGTTAACATTTATCTCCAGGCCCGAGGGGTCAGGTCAATTATATAGAAGTCCAAGCTAGTGAGAGGAATGGAAATGATGAGGCTTGAAAATTCTTCACTCTTTGTTCTTCTAATGGGTGACAGGATAATTAGTCCAAATGAGGTGCAGCCTCTCCCAGACTATATTTAGTCTAATTGCAGAGCTTTCTTTCCCCTGGAGGAGCCTTGGATCTCTCCCTGGTGGATGGTAGTGCCCAAAAGAGAACAATATCAAGCAGGCCGGCCGCAGCCATAGCGGGGCATACTCTCCCCTTCTCAGGAGGGAGGTGGGGCTAGGGCAGCTCAGCTTGTGTCCAGGATGCAGAAAATGGGGTTCAACCCCCAACTCTGCCACTGGCTAGCTGTGTAACTGAGGACCCCCGATCCCCTCTGAACCTCGGTGTTTTGTATGTTCAATAAGCATGATAATCTCTACCTCACAGGAGAGTAATGCGGATGAAATGTGGTAACTTTTGCCAAGTGCTTTGTGAATTGCAGCTGTGTGACATAAATGTGGGTGGACTGCCATAAATAACAGAAAAACCCAGATTTCCCCCTTCTTCTCAAAGGGCCAGTACCTGTTTAACCTTGACATGTGAGGCTCTGTCACACTTAAGAGGAGAGTCTGCCATCACCTTCGCTCCCTTCCTCCTCCTGAGACCACTGTTTCCAACCCTTAAGCACATGGTTAATGCTAAAAAAAAAAAAAAAAAAAAAAAAGTGATTGCCAGTATTACTATTTGCAATTAAAATAGAAGTATTGATTCAGCAAAGAGAAGAGACACAGTGTTGTGTTAGTCCATTTTGTGCTGCGATAACAAAATGCCTGAGCCTGGGTAATTAATAAAGGAAAGAAACTTACTTCTCACACTCCTGGGATCTGGGAAGCCCGAGGTCAAGGCACCACCATCTAGTATGGGTCTTCCGGCTGTGTCCTCACGTGGCGGAAAGCAGAAGGGCAAGAGAGAGCAAACCCCCTCCCACAAGCCTCACCCTTTTTAACTTTTATTTTTTTCAGGACGCAAGGTCTTCCTCTGTCACCCAGACTGGAGTGCAGTGGCGCCATCATAGCTCACTGTATCCTCAAACTTCTGGGCTCAGGCAATCCTCCTGCTTCCGCCTCAGGAGTAGCTAGGACTATAGGTGTGTGCCACCATCCCCAGCTACATTTCCAATATTTTGTGTGTGTGTGTGTGTGGAGATGGGGTCTCACTATGTTGCCCCGGCTGGTTTCAAACTCCTGGCCTCAACCAATTCTCTCACCTTGGCCTCCTAAAGTGCTGGGATTACAGGCATGAGCCAGCATGCCAGGCCCCATTTTTATAATAAAGCAGCATTTATCCATTCACAAGGGTGGAGCCTTCATAACCTAACAACACCCTAAAAGCCCCTACCTCCCAACCATTGTTGTAGTGGGGAATACATTTCCAACACATGAATTTGGGGGCACACATGCAGACCATAGCAATAGTATACTGAATTGTTTAAATGTACATACTTGCAAATAAATTGAGAAGAGGTAATGTTTAGAAAAGCATTTTTTTCATTCACAATAGGAACGCCTAAAAGAATATAACATTGATATGCCTTTATCTGCTCAGCTATAAGTTTATGAATTTAATCATTTTAATATAATTTGACATTAAAGTATTTAACTTTTCCCTCTCTGAGATGACTTCCTTCCCCTTCTTGAATTCTGTTTGTCCTGTTTCCCCACCCCTCAAATGTAAAAAAAAAGAATTTGAAAATTACAAATGAATTATATTGAATTAGACATATATTTACTGAACCCCTAGTATGCAGAACTAAAAAAAGATGATTGAAACATATGGGTTTTCCCCTCCAACTCATCCTTGTCATAATACTCCAGTGACAACATACACATTCAGAAGCATTCATTACCAAGGCTCTCAGCATTTTAAACATTTCCTTTAACATCCTTAACACTGCCGATCCAGCTGAGGTAATAAGGTGCTTTTCCTTCTCAGTGATTCGTCCTGCACCCTGCCAAACCTTTCAGTCAAACAATGAGGTCGAAGCTTACTGTCCCAAGGAAAGAGGATGGACATTAGCTAAAACAAAGACATTATGGCTCAGCTTCGTGCTTCAACCAGACTTTTTTTTTCTTTTCATTATACTTTAAGTTCTAGGGTACATGTACACAACGTGCAGGTTTGATATATAGGTATACATGTGCCATGTTGGTTTGCTGCACCCATTAACTCATCATTTACATTAGGTATTTCTCCTAATGATACCCCTCCCTCTGCCCCCGACCCCAACAGGTCCCGGTGTGTGATGTTCCCTGCCCTGTGTCCAAGTGTTCTCATTGTTCAATTCCCACCTATGAGTGAGAACATGCAGTGTTTAGTTTTCTGTCCTTGTGATAGTTTGCTGAGAATGATGGTTTCCAGCTTCATCCATGTCCCTGCAAAGGACATGAACTCATCTTTTTTTATGGCTGCATAGTATTCCACGGTGTATATGTGCCACATTTTCTTATCCCAGTCTATCATTGAGGGACATTTGGGTTGGTTCCAAGTTTTTGCTATTGTGAATAGTACCGCAATAAACATACGTGTGCATGTGTCAACCAGACTTTTTTAAAGTCCATAGTGAGACAATTGTCTTGAAAGCTAGGTTTTTTTGAGAAAGATAGAGCTATTTCTTAGAAACCCTAAAGCTGGGTTTCTACATATGAAGAAATAAAGCCTCTTAGAGGACTTATAATAAAGAATAAACCAGAGAGAGTAGGAAGCATAGATTTGTGCCACGCATGGAGGAGAAAGCCCTTCCACCAGACAGGAAAGGATCTGGGGACAAAAAAAGAGAAGGGCAGGAATTTAGGTGCAAGGTCTCTTGGCTGACCTGTGTCAAAACTGCAATAGTGAAATACTCACATGAGTATGGGTTGATCCAAGAATATCAAGGCTAGTGTCCTTATTCCCCACACTCAGTGTGGGGATACTAATTGCAAGGCTCAGATAAACTGTGGTATTGGACTGACAGAGTAGCAATGGCTGAGAGAGGTGCCTCAGCAGGTGGGCCTGGAGTGTAGCCCCATCAAATACTTTATAATCCAGAGCAGGGTAGAGCAGCGTTCTCAAACTTTCTGGTCTCAAGAAGGCAGACTAAGTGTCTACTGAGCCTGTTTCTCTAGGGAATGGTTTTTGGATTCGGGATACAATATCAAATATATATATGTGTGTGTGTGTGTGTGTGTGTGTGTGTGTGTGTGTGTATCTGTAATTTCAGTATTTTTGATTCCTCAAAAAGTCTTAAAGTGTTGGGAAACTGTCTAGCTCATGGTGGTGGATATATAGTTCCCCCCAATGTTTTACTTTAAAGCTCAAATTTTAACATTGCCAACAAATACTGTCAATTGCTGTTTTTTTTTGTTTTGTTTTTTTTTTGAGGCGGAGTCTCACTCTGTTGCCCAGGCTGGAGTGCAGTGGTGCGATCTTGGCTCACTGCAACCTCTGCCTCCCGGATTCGAGTGATTCTCCTACCTCAGCCTCCCAAGTAGCTGGGATTACAGGCATGTGCCACCACACCCAGCTAATTTTTTGTATTTTTTTAGTAGAAACGGGGTTTCACCATGTTGGCCAGGCTGGTCTAGAACTCCTGACCTCAGGTGATCCACCTGCCTCGGCCTTCCAAAGTGCTGGGATTACAGGCGTGAGCCACCACACCTGGACAGTCAATTGTTCTTAAGTGACAGGCTCACTTTGTTCATTTTCCAGGAAATCCCCAAATCTGAACAACCATAGTCAGTCCTTCTCTTAAGCAGTGTTCCATGAAAAAAGCACTAGCTCAGCTCATGATTCAATCACACAAATACTTTTTCTGTTACTATACCTTAATATGCAGTGAGAGTGTTTTATGTATGAACTCCCCATTTTGTCATACATACAGAAATGACAGGAAGTGGGGTTGAGACTTAGCACATTTTGGCTGGGTGCGGTAGCTCACGCTTGTAATCCCAGCACTTTGGGAGGCTGAGGTGGGCGGATCACGAAGTCAGAAGATCAAGACCATCCTGGCTAACATGGTGAAACCCTCTCTCTACTGAAAATACAAAAAATTAGCCGGGCGTGGTTGTGGGCGCCTGTATTCCCAGCTACTCGGGAGGCTGAGGCAGGAGAATGGCGTGAAATCGGGAGGCGGAGCTTGCAGTGAGCTGAGATCGTGCCACTGCACTCCAGCCTGGACAACAGAGTGAGACTCCGTCTCAAATAAATAAACAAATAAATAAAAATAAAAGAGATTTAGCAGATTTTAAAAAAATGTTTATTCTAATAAACCATTTTAAAATGGAACTTACAACATATTTTGAACTGAAAAGAAATGAAGCAACAGCATCTGAGAATTGTTGAGATGCTGTGAAAGCAGTACTTGGGGGAAAATTTATAGTACTAAGCACCTATATTAGAAAAGAAGAAAGGCCTCGAATTAATAACATCAGCTTCCAAATTAAACACTGGACAAAGAAGAATTAAACCTAAGGTAAGCAAAATAAATGAAACACAGTGAGTATCAGAGTGAAAATCAGTGGAACAGAAAACAGGAAACCAATACAGAAAACCAATACAGAAAATCAGTGAATCCAAAGCTGGTTTAATATCCTGAAGTCAATCCATGTAATTCATCATAGTAACAGACTGAAAAAGTAAACCATATCGTATCAACAGATGCAGAAAAAGCAGCTGACAAAATCCAACATCCCTTCCTGATTAAAAAACAGTAAAAAACTCAGCACATAATAGAACAAAAACTTCCGCAGCCTGATAAAGGGCATCTAGGAAAAACCTACGGCTAAACATCACACTTAACATGAAATACTAAATGCTTTCTCCATAAGATCAGAACAAGGATGCCCACTCTCTCCACATCTTTTCAACATAGTACTGGAGGTTATAGCCAGAGCAGTAAGGCAGAAGGAGAAAAGTTATCCAGAATAAAACTGTCTTTGGAGATGACACTGTTATCTGTGTAGAAAATCCAATGGAATGTTCAAAGAAGCCAGTAAATCCAATACGTGAGTTTAGCGACGTAGTAGGATACAAAATAAGTACAAGAATATAAATTGATTGTTTATACCAATTAACATTCAGAAAATGAGTGTTAAATTTTAAAATTGAAATTAAAAAAAATTTTATAGCATCATTTAAAATATTAAAATGTAGAGTTAAATCTCACAAAAGATGTGTAAGACCTATTCACTGAAACCTATGACATTGCTTAGAGAAATTAAAGCATATACAAAGATGGATGGATTGAACAATATTGCTCAGATCTCAATTGTCCCCAATTGATGTATTGTGTAAAAATAATCCCAATCGAAATTACATTTTTGTAGCGACTGATAAGCTGCAAAGACTTAACATAGCCTAACCAATTTTGTAAATGAAGAACAAAGTTGGAGGACTAACACTACCTAATTTTAAGATTTATTTATAAAGCTACAGTAATTAAGACAATGTGGTGATGGTTCAAAGATATACAAATATGGACGGTGTGGTGGCTCACATCTGTAATCCCAGCACTTTGGGAGGCCAAGGTGGACGGATCACGGGTTCAGGAATTCAAGAATAGCCTGGCCAACATGGTGAAACCCCGTCTCTACTAAAAATACAAAAATTAGCCAGGCATGGTGGCGCGTGCCTGTAATCCGTTATTTGGGAGGCTGAGGCAGGAGAATTGCTTTAACCGGGACCTGGGAGGTGGAGGTTGCAGTGAGCTGAGATCGCGCCCTGCACTCCAGCCTGGGTTACAGAGGGAGACTCTGTCTCAAAACAACAACAACGATACACAAATGTATCGGTGGACCAGAAGAGTCCAAAAATAGACACACACACATATACAAAACTGATTTTCAACAGAGATGTGGAAGTCATTCAGTGGAAAAATCATAGTCTTTTTAAATGTGATAGAACAATTGGATATTAACATGCAAAGAACTTTGATCTGTCTCTCTTACCATATACAAAAACTCATGAACACTTCGTGAAAGAAGATATATGGATAGCAAATAAGCACGTGAAAAGATGTTCAGCAACATTAGTCACCAAGGAGATACCACCACAGTCCCGTTAAAGTGGCTAAAACACTGACCCCCATGTTGACAAGGAAATGGAAGGACTGGATCTCCCATACCGTTTGTGGGAATGTAAAATAGTACAACTTTGGAAAATAGTTTAGCCGTTTCCTAAAAAGTTAAGCATATACCTACCTATATCCAGCCATTCTACTCTTAGGTATTTCACCAAGAGATATGAAAGCATATTTCCATACGAAATCTTGTGCAAAGCAGCTTTATTTGTAATGATGAACGACTAGAAATAACTCGTGTCCATCAACAGATGAACTGTGGTATATCCATACACCACTACTCAGCAACACAAAGGAATGAACCATTCATACATGTGACAACACAGATGAATGTCAAAGTAATTGATCTGAGTGAAAGAAGCCAGCCCCTCCAACCAATAAAAGAGCACATACTGTAGGATTCCATTTATATAACATTTTAGAAAATGCAAACTTATAGTGACAGAGAGATCAATGGCTGCCTGGGATGGTGTGAGGGAGGGTCAGGAGGAAACAGGACACTTCGGCGGGTGGTGGATATGTTATCATGATTGTGGTGGTGAAACGTGGCAATATTTATCATATTGTACACTTTATGTACAGTTTGTTCAAAATCAAGTACACTTTTTTGAAATGGAGTGTTGCTCTCGTCACCCAAGCTGGAGTGCAATGGCGTGATCTCAGCGCACTGCAACCTCCACCTCCCAGGTTCAAGTGATTCTCCTGCCTCAGCCTCCCAAGTAGCTGGGATCACAGTGCCCACCACCACACCTAGCTAATTTTTTTGTACTTTTAGTAGAGATGAGTTTCACCGTATTGGCCAGGCTGGTCTTGAACTCCTGACCTCAGGTAATCCACCCGCCTCGGCCTCCCAAAGTGCTGAGATTATAGGTGTGAGCCACCGTGCCCAGGCCAAAATCAATTGCACTTTTAACTGTTAAAAATTAAACCACAGAACACTTAGGAAAAGAAAGGGGGTTAGATGTCTTTATAACTTTTGTGTAGGCTAATGGGCTTTTTTACTGGAGACAAGGTCTTGCTGTGTCACCCAGGCTGGAGTACAGTGGGTCAGTGATAGCTCACTGTATCCTTGAATTCCTAGGCTGAAAAGATCTTCCTGCCTTAGCCTCCCAGATAGCTGGGACTATAGGTGTGCACCACTATGCCTGGATGATTTCTTATTTTTGTAGAGATGGGGTCTGTGTTCCCTAGGCTGGTCTTGAACTCCTGGTCTCACACAATCCCACCTTGTGGGTCAGATCCCACATTCTGGGTTCCTGGTTGTACTGGATGTTCTAGTTGGTTCCATTTTCGGCTGCAGCTTCTTAGGTCCAATGACACTTTTCCAAGTCACTGCAAAATGGTCTCTAAGAGCCTTGCTTCCTTCGAAGACAGATGGCTGGTTTTTACATCACTACTAGTTTCTCTAGACTTTTTCTTAACTGCTGGTTATTTCCTTAAACAAACTGCTTTTAATTTAGCCTTTTCAGCTTGTTCAGAGAAGAAAATGTTTTCTCTATCCACTTGGTTTTCTTTAAAAAAAAAAGTGGTAAAATATACATTAAACTTATTAACAATTTTTAAAGCATACAGGTCTGTGGCATTAAGTACATTCACAATGTTGTGCATCCATCACCACTGTCCGTCTCCAGAACTTCTTCATCTTTCCCAATGGAAATTCTGTACTCATTAAACATTAACTCCCCAATCCTTCCTGACTCCCCAGCCCCTGATAACCAGCATTCTAGTGTCTCCAAGAATTTGGCTAGATACCTGATATAAATGGAATCATACAATGTTTGTCCTTTTCTCTATTTCACTTAGCATGTCTTCAAGGCTTATCCATGTTGTAGCATGACAGCATTTTCTTTTTTATAAGGCTAATATTCACATTTTGTTTATCCATTTGTCAATGAACATTTGAGTTGCTTCTACCTTATGACTGTGAACAATGCTAAAAACATTGACATACAAATGTGTTCACGTCCCTGCTTCCACTTCTTTGAGGTGTATACCTAGAAATGGAATTGCTGGATCACATAATTAATTTTTTGAGTATGGTTTAACCACCATACTGTTATCCAAAATGGCTGTATTTAACATTTTCACCAGCAATGCACAAGGCCCTTTGTGCAATTCCAGTCTTTTGCCCATTTTTTGTTTTTGAGTTCTTTATGTATTTTCAATATTATCAGATAAATGACTTGCAAATATATATATCCTCCCATTCTGTGAAATGTCCTTTGAAGCACAATTTAAAAACCGTTTTATTTTTCTTTTGCTGTCCATGCTTTTGGCATAACATTCAAGAAATCATTGTCAAATCCAATTGTGAAACTCTCCGTTTTCTTCTAAGACTTTCATAATTTTCCCCGAGTTAATTTTTGTATATTGTGTAAGGGTCCAACTTCATTCTTTTTCATGTGGATATCACATTTTCCCAACAGCACTTGTTGAAGACTGCCCCTTCCCCATTGACTGAGCTTGGCGCTCATGTTGAAAATCACTTGACCATGTATGTGAGCAGTTATTAATGGGCTATTGTATTCCATTGGTTTATATGTCTGTCTTTATGCCAGGACCACACCTTTGTGATTACTGCAGCTTTGTAGTATGGGTTTCCTTTTCATTTCTGAAAGATACACACTGTCTGGCTCGTGTTGAGTTCTTAAACCCCCTTTGTTTTCTGACAAGATTAGCACTCTCTGTAATACCAACTTTAGTTAGGACCCAGGGACAGCTGTGCACAGAGGACTAGATAACAAGCAGGTAAGCCATTCCACATGGTGTCTGCTTTCTTTGGAAAAGAAAAGGCATAGTCGCTAGGGTAAAACTGTATGCCTTTATTCAACATAGAATGAGTCAGTAAAATATGGTTTGTCTATGTGCAGAAACATACATTCAACTTCGAAGAAGGTTGTTTTTATACGACCAATGAAACAGCCTAAAAGTGACAGGAAAGAAGACAATAGTGAGGAGCTAAAAGGCAGAGTTTATTTGTCAAAGTGCTAAGGCCTATGCGCACAAAGATTTTAAGTGAATAAGAATTACATACGGTAATTTCTTCCATTCCGACTTCTCTTAGTGCTGGTGAAGGGTGCAATGCAGTCACAGAATTAAGACAGGTTTTTTTTTTTTAAAAAAAATAGGTCAAAGCACTTACAGCTAAGTGTTTTTTTTTCTTTCAAATTTCTAGAGTTTCATTTGTTATGTTCTCTAGATCTTTCATGGATTCTAGAAATTTTGTGAATTCTCTGAGAACTTGCTCTTTAATCAGTACTTTATTATTAGAGAATAAATTAAGATGTTTGTCCCAACCTAGAATCTGTCTCCTTATCTAACAAAGGGGTAACCAAATCCAAGACTCTGGAAGCATCTGATTAACTTAAAATGTGTGCAAAGTGATTATATGTAGGTTAAGCTGGGGTCACTACTGAAGAAGTCTCCAAACTACTGAAACTTGCCTGAAAATCTAAAATGAAAAGAACTGCTGACTTCGGGTCAAAGCCCAACTCTATTATAATTTCCAAGCTCTAGGTATCTGAAGACATTAGATTCTGTTTTTTAAAAGAATGTAAAATTTTATGTATGATACTTTCCATAGGAAAGACATAAGCTTTGTGTAAAATAGTTCTAAAGTATCTTCAGATATTTTGGTAACATTTAATGCACTGCTTTCTAATTGGGCTAATTTGAATCCTAAATATTTTGAGAATCCCTGATTAAACTTAATAAAAGTATTGACTCAAGTTGGTCTAATATAGTGTTTAGGAAGCCAAGTTCCATTTCACTTAACAGATGGAGGTGCACAGCCCTAAATCCTGATTAGTGGCAAAAGCCACCACAGTTCAATAGAAAACTATTCCTTATCCCACAGAATGTCTCAAATCAAACTCCAGGTTACATTCATGGCAATTCAACATTACATTAAGTGAATCTAAAATCTTAAAAAGAAATCTCTCAAAAATGGAATAAGCTACTTAATTCAAAGTTTACTTAAATCCATTTAAAACCAAATTCCAGGTTATCTTTCTTCTCCCTAAGGCATCCTCTAGGTTTTACAATTAAGAAGAAAATCAGGATTTTTAAAAATTCCCTTTAGGTTCTTTTGGGTTTGAAGAAGCACGAAAAGCAAGGTTGCAGTTACTTTTCAGGAAAACCCACTATTTAGCCACAGCCCATCTCCAAGTTGATCCTTTCTGGCTCTTTTCCTGGTTTCGCTTTTTCTTCCTGTTACAAGATCTCCTTCCAGGGAATGCCTTTTTAGGTTAAGGCAGAAAGTTACATGGAAGTACAGAGTCTATACAGTCTCTATGAAAAACAAAAGCAAAACTCAATCTATTATTAAATGTTACCAAGTATTAGGAAAACTGAGGACACTCATCCTCCTGGTTCCTGGACAGAGACTACGTTACATAGTGGAATACACCAAATTCTTCTTTAAAAAGCGCTAGAGTCCTGCTGAAGCCCTTTTTAATTCAAGTTGTGACTCAAGAGAAAAAAGGAAAAGCCACTTCTACATTAGAATAGAAAAGGACACAAAAGTAATTTTATCCATTATGGAGAAAAACTGGGATGCAACAATTCCAAATGAAGAGATACAGTTACTTATCATCTATAAGATGAAAATCATGTTTTAAGAAAAATTCCCTTTAGCTTCTTTTAGGTTTGAACAGTGACAGGAAAGCTGCATTATTTACCCAACTGTGTTTGAAAGGGTTAGTTTAACAAAACACTAACTTACTGACCTAAATTAACTACTGACAGAGATTGCTGTTGGCCTGCTTCTAATTTAGATGTTAAGAGATTTCTTGAAATTTCTATAGACAACTTTAGCTATTCCAACAATAGTTCTCAAAAAAGGTGCATTTTATTAATATGGCTCCTCATTTCCACACTTTTTTCATCTAGGGACCTTCTTTCTTCATGTATTTGCCACTACTGTGTCCAGTGTCTCAAACACTTCCATTTCATAACTCATTTAAATTTTCAACCTATCTTGGGAAAAAGGTAGTATTACTCCTTGAGCCTAGAACTAAAAACATGCTGTATAGTCACTACTTTAGGAAAACCTTTCTGCAACTTACATGACTATTTTTGCTTACCTTTGCATAACCAGCACTTTAGTGCTTAGTGCACAGTAGGTGCTCTATAAATACTTGAATTAGTAAATAACATGATTTGTACATAAAAAGTTACCAGACTTCTAAAGACCAGCTGAGGTCAAGTAGTCTCAGAAGCAATGAACACGGGTTTCTGACTCAGTGAAGTAAATAAAGGGTAGCTGGGGATCCAGGTTGAAGCTGCCTTGTCTTCTGGTATGTTGCCTTCTCCCTCAGCTGCAGACCAACTCTACTTGCAGGCACCCATGTCATCACCTGAATATAAATTTATCTTCCCACAAGATAGGAGACCCATCTAAATAATGATAAATATGTACCAGAAATGGGGAGTCAATCTTTGTAAATGGTCATTATGGATTAGTTTATACACATTTAAATATTTTACCTTCATTCTTATTATATATGGAAATTATGAAGATGCTAATGTCCCCTGAGACTTAAGAAGCTTCCTTTAGAAACAGCACATTTTCAGCTAAGATCTAGACTGCTGTTCTCTTGGAAGGCTGAATTATCT
Organism: Homo sapiens; assembly: GCF_000001405.40. Lineage (NCBI taxonomy): Eukaryota > Metazoa > Chordata > Mammalia > Primates > Hominidae > Homo > Homo sapiens. The sequence goes on from NC_000002.12 coordinate 25,736,567, forward strand.
CCAACGTCTTGGGACAACCCAGATACTTGACATTCCAGTATCTGAAAAATAAAAACTGTCTTTTAAAAAGCCAATGTAAAGAAAAAAAAAAAAAGCCAATGTATCCTTACATTAACTTCCAAAATATATTTTTTCTTTTCAGTGAAAGTAACCACAGCTGGGCAATTATGGGAACTAGTGAACTACAATAAAAAGTCAGTTTTATGGGTCATCAAGATACACTCTCGAAAATCTGACCTTAACAATTTTTCTTTTAGGTCATCAATGATTCGATATATTATTCATTTGTTAAAAAATGGGCTATATACTTTTCTTTATAAAGACGATGTAGGCACCATTTTGCTCCTATCATATCCTAAAATCAAGTATTTACTTTGCAGCCACAAAATGAGTTCTCGTGGATTAGACAGCAATCTCGGTATGGGAACATAGACAACCTCTCCTACCAACTGGCTCAGACCTCATTTCCATAGCTACCCTTCCTGACCCAGAGGAGTTCAAAATTCAAGTGTCAAATGCTGAAATAGAACCTAATCAAGGCACAGGTGTTTCTCTTCACATTATTTTCCTTGCTCTTTGACCTCTCCAGATTAGACGGGCAGGAAGGACATGACTGGCTATGAAACTCACTTCTGAGAGAACTGGGAAACGGAAAAAAAAAAATTTCTATCATCTTCAAGAAACTATTTCTTCACACTCCCCTAAGGCCTGGAAAGTGGTGGCAGTAAATGTCAACCACTGTGGAGAAAGGAAAACCTATTTTTTCCCCCGAGATATTTCCTTACCATTCTTTGATTTAGGAGCAAACAATGGGCACATTAATAAAGAGGCTGCACCGCATTTCTTCACTTTTCCAGTAATGTTAGGGGGTTAGGAGACAAAACAGATTAAGGGAGAAAACATGGAGACAGACAGATAAGGAAAATTTAATCAGTTTTACTTAAATTCCAAAAGAAATACACTACCCTGATTTATCACCAAGTTCCTCATTTTACTCTCTTCCATACAATCTGTGGGAACCATCCCATAGGAGTATAAGGCAGTAACTGAGGACTCTTACCCACGCCACTCTCAGATGTATGTTAAACCTCAAGATTCACCAAAAAACTCCAAGGTTTTTATTTTCACTTTTAATGATCTTTTACTTAATAATAAAATGAAAAATAAGAATATAGGAATACATACAATCTATATACATATATTTATTGCAAATACTTAAAATTCTTATGTAAAATGATTTTCTATATTTGTGAAAAAATATGACTTTTTAAATGGTGTTGACACCAACTTCTCTGTACATACCCTCAATTCCAATGTTAACAATTCCTTTAAAAAGGCAAAAGACACAAAAGTTTAGCATTTACCAAACCAGTCTGTACAAACCTTACAGCCAGAAGGGAAAAAAATAGCTTGTGGTAAATAAGTCAATTTTCTTTTAAAATAAAAAATAAACCCCAAAACTATTCCCCTTATTGCATTTTTCTGAAATAATCTGAGTGTCTTTAGAGTAACTTCCTTTGAAATAATTTGTGCCTTAACAGTGAGGTCCTACATCAAACATACCATATATGAGAAATTCAAAGTCTTCCACTGTCACTTTTTACAGATATTAAAATATATATTACTTAAAATATATTACTGGAAAGCTATTTTTAAAATTGATCTTCAATAGTTGTATCAAATGTAAAGCATTAAAAAAAATAAAGTAACCAAGAATCTACGAAGCTATTGCTTCAACTTTAGGAAATGTTTTACCTACTGTTCTCTTTCAATAGGTTTGTAGGTATTGAAACATGGTAGGAAAGGCCCCTGCCTATCACCATGTTTCTCAAAGTCTCTTTGGACTATTCTATAAATTGAGCTGAAAACTACCCTTGGCCAAGTTACTTACTTAGCACACAGTTGTAAGGAGATGGGGAGACTTTTCCCTCCTTGCTATGATGTGAAACCTCTAGGTCAAAGAGAAAACACTCTGGCACTGCTCACTGATAGTGAGTTCTAGAAATAAATAGCAGTGTAATGACCAGAGAAGTCTCCCCACTCCTCACCCCCATTATAGCAAATCACTTCACCAGAGAGTTATTTATGGCTCTCTAAGGTGGAGAAAGGCAATAATAAACAACAGAATGTTAACTGTCAGGTCATTAATATGTATGACTTTGCACCTTCACCTGGAAGGCAATGAGGTCTTCCTTTGGCTATTTAAATCTGAGATAAGCTCTAAAACATGTACATCCGTATGCCTTCACAGCCCAATAAGTATGCTCTCTCCACCCCAAGTTTCCCATTTGCCAGCTCTTATTCTTAGAAATGTTACATGAAATACCACAGATAGCTTCAGTATCTTGAGCATAGGGGTTATGGAACAAGTAGGACAAACAACTCCAGGCTATTTGGCTTTACTTTCTGTTTAATAGGATGGAGAATTCTAATTCTCCAAAATTATTTAAGATTCAGGGAGACTTATTTACTAGACAACTTAGAATCTTTATAAACAAGACTGAGACTATATTATTGATGCTATCTCCTGGGGTGACCTGCAGTGGAGGACATCTGAAGGCTAGATAGGGGTGCACGGGAGGCGTATGCATCAGGCATAATGCCTGACTAGTCACTGGAAATAATGCCAGGTCATACCCTAAGAATAAGCTCAGCATTTATTAAAACTTTTCAGATTGGGATGAAAGGTAAAACAACTCAAAAAACTAAGGTAAAGATTGCTTTAAAGGTGCTGCTGGAATACCATACTAATAAAGGTTTTGTTTCTACTGCTTCATTTTCTAAAAGGCCAGATTGTAATGTGTTTTTTTTTTTTTTAATTTTTCTGTTCAGCTTTTAAGATGAATGGCTTTCCACTTGAAACCTCTGTGTTGAAACCAACTGATAAATAGACTGGTATTCAAGTTACTACCCAACTGAGAGAACTTAACTGTTCTCTTGTCTGGTCAAGATTGAGGCAGTGTATCTAGTTGGCAATATCTGTTTTAGGAGTATTCCTAAATGCAAATATTTAGCTGAGTATTATTTGTTAAGATAATCTAGTGAACAGCAATGTTTAGGACCTATCTATAAGAGCCTGGGTCAAGATGAAGAGGCACAATATGGTTTGCTCTCTAAACGGACTTAAAAATCCCTGATACCTTTCCTCCTTTCCTAGTTATAGTCTGTTCATCCCTAAGTTAAGGGTAGCACAGAGGAAAACCTTTCTGACAGGAAAAAGGTAAAGCAGAAAAATCACTTTCATCAATCCAAACTGGTAACTGACATTTAGCATGGAATCAATTCCAAAACTCTCAACCTCTTCCAGCATGCAGACCAGCCCTCGGCCCTGGCACTAAGGTGGAGTTAAGGGGTAGGGCAGGGAGAGTTCTATGCAGCAACAGGTCTCTTTAAACCCTTCCTGGATTGCCCAAGGTACTGAATATTTGGGAGCACCATTATTTCTGTTTTCTACTGGTTCTTGGCTTGAAAATATACTCCTTATCCCCAATCCTTGCAGCCTTCTTATCTCTTAGCTGTGTGTGCTGGAAGAAAGGAGAAAGATGGACAGACATATCGTTCTGGCTGAAGCTGGAACACAGATATTAATCCTATATTGGCCTTGGGCCACAAAAAAGCCAGAAGTGAAAAGTGAAAAACAGTGAAGTGAGTTTCTTACGGAGAGGAGCGGAGCAGGGGCTGTGGGAAAGCATCGAAGAGTGTGTGATGTGGGGGTGGGGTGGGCAGTGGTGGGTAGTAGAATGGGGGCAAAACAGAGATGATTATTGCCCATTTTCTCCTAATCTGGAATGTGACTTAACAAGTTTAAACTGTTCTGCATTTTGTAAATATCACATCCTGAATATGAAGGACAAATACAACTGTACTATGTTGCATTAACATTTGTACTTTACCCATTCCAAATTAGGAGACTTGAAATCAATATGCAAATGATGCAAATTGACACTCCCCCATTTAATACAAAATTCTGTTAAACTGCAGGTTTATTTTAATGTTCCTTAACCATGACCTAAATATTATGTACTCACAATTTCTTCAGTCACTAGAGAAGGATTTAAAAACAAAAAAGGAAACAAGAAAGAAAAAGAAACAAAAACAAGCAACCAAAAAACCTTTAGGGCTCATTTTCCTTCCTTTCCAGATGTTCCCTTAGCCATTCAGAGGCCTCTTTCCATTAGAAATTTCTAGTGCTCAGACAGCAGTAATCCAAACAAGGGCTATATTTTCTAAAACAGGAAAAATGTCTTGTATTGTGTGTGTGTGTGTACATACACGTATGTGTAAAGTAAGATATAATAAGATGATGTCATCCTGTTCAGATGCCTGGGAGGTCAAAACAGGTTGAACAGAATGAACAAATGTGGCATTGGTGAGCTTTTCTACCTGCAACAGCAGCTGACTATCTAGCACTAGGTTAACAGGTTGGGAGAGAAGAGGAAAAGAGAAGCGACCTTGTTCTAGTGTCAAAACTGTTTTCCAAAGTTATTTACGTTCAATTTAACAGTTTCTGTGGTTTCACTCCCCTTGCTCAACAAGATGTAGCTCAAATCACCCAATCACTAACACTTTCCTGTTCATTTTATATGAGTATTTCAAAATTGTTAGTTACCACGAATGACTAAGTGCGGGGATAGGGTATTTTTGCTGGAATTGTTGCACTGCACAGCCTGTAACAACACAGGGGGTCCCAGAGAGGCACTCCCTTCACGGACTACATTCACTGTCTCAGGGCAGGGGGTGGGATTAGGGAACAGCAGGGATCCACAAATTCCAAGCAGATTGCTTGGCAACAGTACCAGTAACTAGTAACTAGTACAGTAGAAGCCAAGAACCAAGTCAGGGCTTTCAGAGTCTGAAACACTACCTGTGAAATGAATTCCTTACCAAAAATTTCAATTTAAGAAGATTCCACCTAAGGTAAAGGGACTGAGTAAAACCCTGAATCCAAGTCCTGCAAAGGCTGAATAATCTATGAATAACCTGCGGCCAGACTGTCCAGACAAAATCAGTGTGAATGGTCATTTCTTTAGACCATTCCTTCACTTTCCTTTTCCTAGCTTCCTAGGAAATGTCAGAAGGGAGACAGCTTCCTTTTACCATGCCGGCATTAAACTTTTCTCAGTCACAAGTAGTAGAACATTAATCTGAATTCAAAGTAATACATTATTACCTAAACACTTGGAAAAATAATGTTAAACAAAATGTGACATATTTACATGATTTTGTAAGTGCAAACTTGTCACAAATTCACAAAGTCTTGCTTGACTTAGACTTACTATACAAGGTGCTCTTCCTCTAAAATGTAAAAAATCTGTACTTTGTATTCCTGATTAAGTAACATTTGTCTCTGAAGACAACTGAAACCTACTTGTTTATTTCTGTGATTCCAAAAGGACGCAAAAAACCCAACTGGTCAACCCTTCCCTTCCCCCTCCTTTACAGTGTATCTCTTTCTAGTCTCATTACCGAACGACAAGGCAGGAGACGCACAGTTTGGAGGGGCCGATGCAATCATCATGGCAGAAAGCGCCACAGCCTTTGCACATGATCATGGCTTTCAAGCGGCAGTAACATTTCGAAGGCGTGCCCTCTATGCTGTTCTCTTCGGAGAACGCCTGAACAGGAATGGTCTGGCCATGGCTGCTGGGATTCATAGCTTGGCTAGCAGGGATGGTAGTGACAGTCACTGAAAATGACATGACATCACCTACATTGCTAGATACCTGGCTACCTGGTACAGCAGAGTTATGGTCCATGTCAGATGAGGTGGAGACATTGATCATGCCTCTATAGCTTGGCCCTATCTGGGTGGGGCTTCCATACAACTTCGGGGTTTGCAGGGGTGGAAGGAGTAGGGGCTGGTGGGTGGGGCTGTCTGCAGGCAGAGGAAGAACAGTAGAACTGAAAAGCTCGGGGCTGCTACGGATTGCCTTACCTCTCACTGCATGAGCCATCTGCTTCTGTGCTGCCTGAATTAAATCTCTGGCTAGGGTCTTTTCATCAAATGTTTGGCCTCTAGTGAACAGGTAATTCTCCTTACTTAAAGTGGTTTGCTCATTCAATGGTATCTCAGCCTTCACATTCTTGCTAGCTAAGCAATCACTGGTAGATAGAGTTTCCCTGCTGTGAGGTCCTGAACTTGTGTCACCCTTGCCAGCACTCTGGGAAACCTGGGGCTCCTCTTTCACTGTGACAGATTCCTGCTCATCACCAGTACTTTCCTCATCAGTGTCATCTTCTTTGCTGCTGCTACTCTCTCCTGTTGCATTTTTACAGTCTGTATATCCCATTTTCAAGGCTTCAGTGGGGCTGCTTAGACAAAAACGATCTTCAGGGTTTACAGAATGGGTCCTCCTAAAGCTCTCTGAGCCCCGGCCGTAGGTAGAAATATTCAGTAAGTAGTGCCCTGCCATTGCAGGTTTGGATGTCCTTCTGCCAGCAAAACCCAGCATGAACCTCTGGCTTGTGGAGATGTCTTCCAGCTGGAAACCTGAGTGAGCGAAGTTGAACTGTGAGGGCGGCACAACTGAGAGAAGATTCTGCCTCCGAACCCTCTGAATGAGAGTCTGAAGGATCTGATCTTGGGTTGCTTTACTTAGTCCTTCGTGGTATTGGTGTGTGTCAATGCTGGAGTCCCTCAGCTCCTTAGCTGAAAAGAGCTGAAGGGGCCTTGGAACCTGGGGGAGCTGCTTACTTTGCAAGGTTTTGCCCAGCTGCTGCTGCGTAGCTGGATGGGACTGTCTCTCATTAACTTCCTCTCTGGTGCTATTTTCTGTTGTGTTGGTAGCTATGAGCGCTCCCATCCCCCTTTCCTCTTTTGCAGTCAGTGGAACCGTTTTCATTTCAACTTTGGTGAGAGGTTTAGGCAGAATTTGCTCCATGGGAACATCTTTGCCTTGAAGCAGCTGAGTCACTAAAGGATTATTAGCAGGGATACTAGAGGTTGGTCTTAAAGTGGGTCCATTCATGTTTAAAGAAGTTCCTGGGGTTTTAAGGCTAGAAGCTGCTGGCAAAGTGCTCGAGGGTGGAGCTGATCCAGCAGGTGCTGTAGTTGCACTGACCTGGGGTACAGGAAGCTTTTCTAAAGTGGCTGTGGTCAATAAAGATGTTAAAGGGGAGGGAGTTACAGCCACTGGCACACTAGCATCTGTCTTTGATGAGGCTGAAGGGTTAGGTATATTCTTACTAGGACCTGCTTTGAGCTCAACTGTGCCATCAGCTGCACAATGAACAGGTGAGGCACCTGAGATTAGAGCAGGACCTGTTGGAGAAGGTGCTTTCTCCTGTCTGCAACTACTGGGCCCTTGTGGATGGCTGACAGAGGCCACTGTGGCTGTTGCTCTGGTGGGGTTCAGTTTTTCATTATCCAATTTCTCTATGTGGGCTGGTGATGGGACACTTGTGCATGCTCCACTGACGGCAGGTGTTGGAGGCACTGGGGGGGTTTGCTGTAGTTGTGCTCCAGAGACACTATGAGGCTGTGCCTGGCTTGGGGTGGTCTTGGTCTCAGACTGGGGCTGAGTCTCTGGACCACAGGGTAAAAGCTCTCTCGTACCTCCCCTGCTTCCAGTTCCTGCCAGTTCCAGTGTGGGGCCCTTTCCAGTTTCACTGACTCTGTCTGAGCCTGGACTGCCTCCTCTAGCAGTCTGCCCTTCACCACCCTCTCCTGGACCTTGTCCACCCCCTGGGCCAGGTCCTGGAATGGTCCCTCCAACTGAGGCGGCTGCAGCAGCTGCGGCGGCAGCGGCAGCTGCTGCCCTCTGTGCTTTGACCAGTTGGGCTTTTGCTTTGATGTCTGCAAGAGTTCTGGCTCCTGTTCTGTTAGGACTAGTGATGGAGACTGGAAAACGAGCCCTGGGAGAGACCTGCGATGGATGAAACGGCATGGGGGAGATTCTGGAGACCGGGATCTGAAAGAAGTAGAGGGGAAAAAAACAACAGAGCTTAGTTTTCATTTGTAAGAATAACAAAACTTCATTAGCCCTCACATTTTAAAAACAGATGAACACTACAGTACCTGTGACAAACATGGGTGGTCTATGGCCGAGAGGCCAAACCTTGGAGACAGCAATACTAGTTTGTCTCTAGGGTCCTTGCATCCACTTTTTCTATTGGTGCCAAAGACGACTGCTTCCACTCTCACCCCAAATCCCCACACCTCTTTTCCTATCTCAACTCCCTCCTAATGCCACTATTACAAGTGCTTATTATGATACAAAGTTTTCTATGGTATTTGCATTTTTAAAAAGTGTATTTATGTTTGAGAAAGAAGAGAAAAGCAAGCAAGCCAGCCACCCATACCACTACTGTCTTTTAGTTCTTAGCTTTACTACCAAGGTCCAGGGGAAAATACTTGCTCTTCTCTGTTCCACACACACACACACACACACACACACACACACACACACACACACTTGGGCTGGATTATCTCAAATTACACAGGCTTCTAGACAGCACTGGAAGGAAGACAATGTGTGATCTATAGGAGCCCCCACCATGCCCATACACATAAAGGAGTATGTACATAATGTTTGCCAGCCATTCTCATCTCTGGCTGGTATTATATTTACTTGCGCAATTTTAAAATATATATGCTCTGGGTCCTATCCCAAAAAATTACAAATCAGAACCCCCAAGACCCTAGGAAGTCTTTTTTTTTTTTTTTAGATAGGGTCTTGCTCTGTCTCCCAGGCTGGAGTGTAGTGGTGTGATCTCGGCTCACTGCAACCTCAGTCTCCTGGGTTCAAGTGATTCTTGTGCGTCTGCCACCCGAGTAGCTGGGATTACAGGTGTGGGTCACCACGTCTGGCTAACTTTTGTATTTTTAGTAGAGATGGGGTTTCACCATGTTGGCTAGGCTAGTCTTGAACTCCTGACCTCTTGTGATATACCTGCCTCGGCCTCCCAAAGTGCTGGGATTACAGGCATGAGCCACAGCACCCAGCCTGAAAAAGCCTGGCCAACACAGTGACTCCAGAGGGAGCCTCCAGCTCAAAAAAAAAAAAAAAAAAAGTTTCTAAAAAGCTACTTGTGAGATTCTGATGTCTATCAGGTTTGAAACCATTGATTTCCTTCTTTTTTTTTTTTTTTTTTTTTTGAGACAGTCTCACTCTGTCACCCAGGCTGGAGTGCAGTGGCAGAATCTCAGCTCACTGTAACCTCTGCCTCCTGGGTTCAAGTGATTCTTGTGGCTCAGCCTCCCGAGTAGCTGGGATTACAGGTGCCTGCCACCACACCCAGCTAATTTTTTTGTATTTTTAGTAAAGATGGGGTTTCACCATGTTGGCCAGGATGGTCTCGAACTCCTGACTTCAAGTGATCCACCCACCTCGGCCTCCCAAAGTGCTGGGATTACAGGCGTGAGCCACCACGCCTGGCTGAAACCAATGATTTTCATACCATAAAATCATCATGTCTGAAACAAATCTGCCTTCTGTCCTGAACAATACTTTGAAAGCTATTAGAGTTACTAATAATTCAACAAGATGTGGACTCTTCTAGTAACTGGTTGAGTTTAAAGGAGCAAATAACTGTTAAGATGTTCTAAAGCATTTAATTAAAAAAAAATTAACCCACTAAACCCTAAGAAAATGCATGCCATTTTTCTTAATGTTTTTAAATTAAGAATAATAAAGTCACTAAACATTTTTCATTATTTGCAATACTCATTTCTCAAAAGGTCAGTAGTCCTCAAAAACTGATTCTCTAATTCCGAAGTTAGAGCCATGGGACTTCATAACAGGTGTCACAGAGTATATATTTTACATCAGGAAACCTATTTAATCTCTCTAAGAGCTAAATCTATTTCACATCCAATTCGAACAAGCCTAGATAGTATATTTACTCATCACATAGCATTTTAGAGGCTGCCTACAGTAAGAAAGAAGCAGTTATTGTCCCTTATTTATATCATATGAAAGAAACTGCAGGGGAAAAAATGAAAAAAAAAAAAAAGATAAAACTAAAAAAGTAAATACAAGAAAGGTGTTTAGGGGAATTTATATAGGGACAAACAACTTTACATAAGAATACTCGTGAGAGTAACTCTATACCTAACATAATACATCATATCTATCATAATAACACAATCATTAATAACATGTTGAAATCAAATAAGAACAACCATTATAAGTGGTTAAAATGAAAGGTTTCGATACCTAAAAATAAGTTTCAGTTACTTACGTAAATAGCCCTATTACCTGATTATGCAAAATAAATCATATTTCTTTTTAAGTACAAAACCAAAGCTGTCCAGGCATTGATAACAATTTAATTTACTGAGAAGCCCTACCCCGGGAGAGCAGAGAGATTCAATCCTTTTCTTTTTAAGTGTACAGTCATCCCTTGGTATCCATGGGGGATTGGTTCTAGGACCCCAGAGGATATCAAAATCTGAGGATGCTCAAGTCCTTTATATAAAATGGCGTAGTATTTGCAGATAACCTCCACATATCTTCCCATATATTTTAAGTCATCTCTAGATTATTTATAACACCTAACATAATGTAAATGCTATATAAATTGTTATACTGTATTTTTACATTTGTATTTAATTTTCTTTTCCAAATATTGCGATAGGTGGTTGGTTGAAAATACTGCATTAACCTTGAGGATGTGGAACTTGCTGATACAGAGGGCTGACTGTATAGGGAATGTAAAACATATAATGTGCATGTGTGTATATATAGTTTTTATATACATTTGTATATATATAAAAGTTGTAACTAAGTTATAACATTTATACTACATTGTGAATTTTGTTTTCTACTACTACATTGTGAATTTTGTTTTCTACTTAAATTTTGTTTAAAAGGTTTTGTTCTGTTATAAATTACATTAAACTTTGTCTAAGAAAGCAGTATTTGAGATAGGGTCTAAGAGAAGAGAGTTACTAAAGACACTTCTGGAGAAGTCTTTTTTGAGGGAGATGAGGGAGAAGAAAGGAAAAGAACTGAAAAAAGTAAAATTATATTAACTTGGTCACAGTGGATTAAAGTTTCTGTGTAATCCCTTTGGACTAGCAGAAAGCAGACAGAATATGATGTAACCCAGCCTGTTTACAGGTGAGAAAATAGAAATGATGGGTCTTAGCAACATTTATAGCAAAACCTAAACAGTTACTCAGCTCTCAGGTCTGGAGATAAGCTGTGAATGACATTGAAGAAAAGTTTCTAATATTTTTATAAGAAAGAATAGTAAAAGTGATTATAATAAAAATCAGAATCTCTGGCGATGCATGTTAATGGTAGAAAAAAAAATAAGAAAAAACCCCCATAGATTCGTAAGTGCTAAAATCACCAATTTTAAAGAGCAATGAATTGGCCAGGCGTGGTGGCTCACACCTATAACCCTAGCACTTTGGGAGGCCGAGGCAGGTGGATCTTGAAGTCAGGAGTTCAAGACCAGCCTGGCCAACACGGTGAGACCCCTTTACAAATAATTATTTGTAAACATACAAAAATTAGCCAGGCGTCGTGGCTTAATGCCTATAATCCTAGCTACTTGGGAGGCTGAGACAGGAGAATCCCTTGAATCCGGGAGGTGGAGGCTGCAGTGAGCCAAGATTGCATCACTGCATTCCAGCCTGGACGACAGTGCAAGACTCCATCTTGGGGGGCAAAAAACAAGCAATGAATAAAAAAGTAATAGGAAGTACAGACGGTGGCCCACGCCTGTAATCCCAGCACTTTGGGAGGCAGAGGAGGGCAGATGACTTGAGGTCAGGAGTTTGGGACCAGCCTGGCCAACATGGTGAAACCCCATCTCTACTAAAAAATAAAATTACAAAAATTAGCCAGGTATGGTGGTGCATGCCTGTAATCCCAGCTACTCAGGAGGCTGAGGCAGGAGAATCGCTTGAACCTGGGAGGTGGAGACTGCAGTGAGCCAAGATTGTGCCACTGCACTCCAGCCTGGACAACAGAACGAGACTCCGTTAAAAAAAAAAAAAATACAATGAGAATGGGTCAAGTTCTGGTAAGTGAATCTTTCCAAGGAATACTTCCTGACAGAACTAATTTTGGTTCACCTCAGTTAAATAAAAAGGGGGAAAAAGTACTTTTACTAGTCTTATTTTTCCATTTATATCCTAATGAGTAATATTCAGTGCGTTGCCTCTTAAATTCCTTGGTAAGAAAAATAAACACTATTTATTAAATGAATGAACTGCAAGCTGATATTAAGCACAAGCCCAAGTATTAATAAACCTTTAAGATCAGAAGTAAAAATGTGTTTGGGTTTTAAAAGGCATTGTATATTAAGACAGTCAAAGATACTACCTAGAAGAATTTGAAAGATTTGACATGCAGCAATACAAGGCTAACTGGAAGTTAATCACATGCTAAGCAGCAGAGCTTACCAAGACTATTCCATGTTACTAGTGTCCCTCAAGTAACCAGTAGTGACAGAAGACAGCTACACATATTTCCTTTAATAGGAGGGAGCTAAAGGTAGTTCCTGATTCACAGAACATCAAGTCAGTTATGGTAGCAAGAAAAGGGTAAACTCAAATACCATGGCTCTTGGTACAAAGATAGGATCCTTTGATTACACCAATAGTCTCCTCATGCTTAGTCTCACATTTCTTATTTTGTCAATAATTTTCATGATGGTCTGGAAGCATGCATTACAGACTACCTGTAGGGGAACCGAAGGAAGCCCAAGACTCTTCCACCCTGGGATTGTGATCAACTCTTCTCTGCAATATCTGCGTGAACCCTGGCCCAAAAAATCTAAGAGGTCCTGAGGAGACAGTAGGACAGTTGGCTGTCAATGTTCTACAGAGGCTGAGAATTATAACTAAGTTTTTGGAAGTCCATTTAAATTATATTTGGTCTAAGAGTCTGAGATCAGGTGCCTCTGAGCTCAAGTAGTGAGCACAGGGGTGGTTTACATTAGATGCCCAGGTACCTTCCTTATGCAAACATCAGTAAAGACCTGTATGTAGGACTGCAGTTCTAAATGCCCATCTATCATTTTATTTGTGTAAGACCATAGTTACATATTTATCAAATATATCCAACTGCTTCTGCATTAAGAACTACCACAATTTACTTGAAATTTAGTAGGTATGACCAAAAACATAGGGTTCAGACGATCTCTGCTTTTCTAATTCTCTCCATTCTCTTACCTTGAGAGGTGGTACTTTTCGCACCTGGATTCTGTCCCCTCTATTGAGAAAGGGCTGTGGTGAGACCTGAAATGGCTGCTGGTGCTGGCGATTCTCAGTGACACGTGGCCTCTTCTCCCAGCTCACAGGGGCCTCTTCTTGGGTGAGGGAAGACTTCCTCTTGAGGCTTTCTGGGCTCTGATCAACAAGAGTTGCTAGAGGTTCTTTCATATTAGTCTCCTGTGGACCCGCTCCTGCTGTGGGCTTCACTATTGGTTTTTCAACCCCAGGACTCTTGGGTTTGCTTGGCGATGTAACTAAAGATTCTTGGCTTTCACTTTTGTTATAATTAGAAGCTGTGGTGAGATGGTTCTTCTCAGATTCCTGTTCAGCAGAGGTGACTGGCTTCTGCTCCAAGAGATCCTCATCCTTTGGGCACTTGATGGGAAGAATGCTGCTAAGCTCATGTGTATTGAGAGCTGAGGAAAGCAGGGGCTCTGAAGATGTGGAGAAGTTCGGCTGCACTTCACCTTGGCTTTCACACTCTTCTTTTCTGCCTGGTGATGACATTTGCAATGCTTCTTCTTTACACTCTGACTGGGAGACTACTGGAACTATTCTGATAAGAGAGGCCTCTGACACAGGCATGGATTTTGGTTGTTCAGCTGGGGTTTTCTTTACTTTGGGATCACTGGGAGAAGCTGTCAATTTCTTAGAATCTTCAAGGCTCAGGCCAGAACTAAAAAGGGGAAAAAAGAAATATTCCAGTTGAAAAATAGCCCATGTTGCGAAAGCATTCATTAATAGAGATAATGGAAGATGACAATGCCTAGGAGAACCCCTGACACAGCAGGTATTCATGTATTATCTTCACTATTAGTAGTAGTGAAAGTTCTGGAGTCAGAGTGCCTGGATTCAAATTCTGGCTCTGATACCTACCGTCCGTGTGATATTAAGTAAATGACTAGCCTTCTTTACTTCAGTTTCTTCAATTGTACACTAGGTTTAATTACTTCATAGTGTTGCTATGATAATTAAGTTAATCCATATAAAGTACTTGCCTAACACATAATGAAAGTTCAGTAATAGTAGTTATTATTACTTCTGCTTATAGAGGGGCCACATTGTCTGGACGCATGCATCACAGACTACCTGCAAGGGAACTGAAGGAAGCCCAAGACCCTTCCACCCTGTGATTGTGGTCAACTCTTCTCTGCAATATCTGTGCAAACCCAGGCCCAAAAAATCTAAGAGGACCTGAGGAGACAGCTGGCTGTCAATGTTCTATAGAGGCTGAGAATTATAGCTGAGTTTTGGAAAGCCCATTTAAATCCCACTTGGTTTAGCTCTAAAATTCTGAGATCGAGTGTCTCTAAGCTATTCTGAGGGTATAGTTCCATTGAGATATCCATAATGTGGCTTGGCTAAAAGCTAGGCTAATCTGTAAAGGTCATTAGTGACTCTTCTTAATGTTTTAGAATACTGTACAACATGTAAAATCAATGAGCCTTCTTTGGTGACTTCAAAGAGTCAGTACTGTGCTTCTGAGATGGAATGGTTAGGGACAAAACTGGGCAATAATCAAAAACAGTCTTTCTATAAAAGCTGACAAAAAGTAATAGTTGAAAATAGAAAGACCCACGAACTGTTGTAATCCTCTATCTGCTTAAGAAGGAGGGAATGGGCCAGGCACAGTGGCTCATGCCTGTAATCCCAGCACTTTGGGAGGTGGGCAGATCGCTTGAGCACAGGGGTTTGAAACCAGCCTGTGCAACAGGGCAAAACCCCACTCCTACAAAAAATACAATAATTAGCTGGGTGTGGTGGCATGCACCTGGAGTCCCAGCTACTCAGGAGGCTGAGGTGGAAGGACTGCCTAAGCCCGGGAGATTAAGGCTACAGTGAACCGTGATTGTGCCACTGCACTCCAGCCTGAGGGACAGAGTGGGACCCTGTCTTTGAAAAAAAAAAAAGAAAAAGAGAAAAAAAAGGAGGGAATGAACAAATATTTGTAGAATTACTGCTACCTGCAATAATGGTCTAAATGTACCAAACATCACTTCTATAGCTCAATGCTCATACCAAAAATATAGAAAAATCAGTTTATAGAACTCTTTTTTTTTTTGAGACAAGGTCTCACTTCGTCGCCCAGGCTGGAGTGCAATGGCGTAATCTTGGTCACTGCAACCTCCGCCTCCCAGGTTTAAACGATTCTTCCACCTGAGCCTGGGTCTACAGGTACGCACCACTACACCCAGCTAATTTTTTGGTATTTTTTTTAGAGATGTGGTTTTGCCATGTTGCCCAAGTTGGTCTCGAATTCCTGGGCTCAAGTGATCCGCCCACCTCAGCCTCCCAAAGCACTGAGATTACAGGTGTGAGCCACCGCAACTGGCCGCAGTTTATGGAACTCTTAATCTCAATAGGAATATTTCCTAAATGACTGTGAAGGAGATGGATAAATACTACTTGGAGACAAGGAAAAGGAGAACTTAGTTTTCAAGCTGTGGTTACGGGTCTTCTTAAGGGCTGCCATTGGTGTGCAGAAGGAAGGAAGGGAGACTAACAAGTAGGAGTCCAAGTGTTCAATCCTATTTCAAACAGAACATCTCCATTACCATCTATTTAAATGTCCCATTATAATTTCACTGTTGGATCTTTTGTTGGGGGGGAAAAACTGATTTAGGCTACAGCCTCTTTTAAACAGAATTTATATCTTGATTCAGCTATGTACATCTCCCAGAGTGCCTTTTACAGAGGAGAGGCTCTTTAATTACAGGTTGGTTCTAATAGTCCACATTACAAAATTCCTAAGATTCCTTAGTGATTCTGGATAGCTACATTTTGGGATAATTAACTACTATAAAAAGTGGACAGAACCTCAGTATTCTGGCTCGGAGTGGTGGCTCATACCTGTAATCCCAGCACTTTGGGAGGCCGAGGAGGGCAGATCACCTGAAGTCAGGAGTTCGAGACCAGCCTGGCCAACATGGTGAAACCCCAACTCCACTAAAAATACAAAATTTGCCAGGTGTGGTGGTACACGCCTGTAATCCCAGCTACTCAGGAGGCTGAGGCAGAATTGCTTGAAACCAGAAGGCACAGGTTGCAGTGAGTCTGAGATTGCGCCACTGTACTCCAGCCTGGGCGACAAGAGTGAAACTCTGTCTCAAAAAAAGAAAAAAAAAAAAAAGAACTAAAGAACTTCAATATTCTTCTATCTTATAAAGTAACCAGAAGAAAAACCAATCTTTTCAAAGAAAGGGACTCTTAATTCAAAGTTTTTTTAGAAATGTATTTTTTTTTTTTTGAGATGGAATTTTGCTCTTTTTGCCCAGGCTGGAGTGCAATGGCACCATCTTGGCTCACCACAACCTCTGCCTCACAGGTTCAAGCGATTCTCCTGCCTCAGCCTCCCAAGTAGCTGGGATCACAGGCATGCACCACCACGCCCAACTAATTTTGTATTTTTTTAAGTAGAGACGGGGTTTCACCATGTTGGTCAGGCTGGTCTCGAACTCCTGACCTCAGGAGTTCGCCTCGGCCTCCCAAAGTGCTGGGGTTATAGTGTGAGCCACTGCGCCCAGCTAAAAAATTTGTTTTTAAAGAAGCCATTTCACCTACAATGACAGTTTTAAGGGTAAAGTATGATGAGTAATCTAATTCTGTGAACCCGTGATTCATAATAAGAAAAAAACTTCTTCCTAAAGAAGAATCAGTGAGACAAAAAAAAAAACAAAATAAAACAAAACAGAAGGAAACTGGGGCCTAGATTTTCTGAGAAGGTAATGAGATAAAGCACTACATGACTTATATGTAGGAATTAACATTTGGTTTATAGAACCTGTCCTAATATTACCTCTGCCCATAGTAGCTTTCAAAGAATTGTTCTTTCCATGGCTCCACTTTTTTCTCCTTCTCAATCTCTTGTCGAATTCTCACCTGCATCTCAGGTGTAAACTCACCTGCAATGTACCCAAAAAAGGATATTCAATAGAAAAATGCTATTTGCAACATGTAACTATTTATAAATCATGAAAGACTCACGCAGGAATTGGAATACTACCATGTGAAAGTAACAGAAACTCCTCAAACCTCCTCACTGTAAAGGAGGACCTAAATGCCATTAGGTGAAATAAAAATATGTTTGCACACCACTCCAGGTAGCTTTCAGTACTCAGCTGAGGCTGACAAAGCCTTTTCGCTGGGCTTCCCTGTGGTACCTTCCTCACGCTCCAAGCATCACACTCCATACAGATTTATTTTATCTCTTACCTAGAACTTCCAATTTATTTTCCACTAAAAGAAAAAGTGATGTGCTTTCAATAAACTATGCCACTGGGCATTTTTACTATTTTAAAGATCAGTTTCTCCAAGGCAAGTTAATTTTAGGCTTTTTACCTCTAACTGCATAAAGAAAAGCTATGGCCCTAGCATTCGAGATTCCAGTAAAAAGGTAGGGAGTTATTCTGGAGTTGTCAGTTTTCTAATTGTTCCACAAATTGTACCAGGCTAATGCTCTAGCAAGAAGATACTCAACATGCCAAAGACCCAGCTGCTCTGAATATGCCATTTATTTGCATATACTACCAACCACCTCAATCCTTCCCACTCCATCAGCAGAGAACAGTGAATGTGCTTGGTAGGCCATCTTCAAACTTGTGGCTCAGATAGACTGCTCTCTTTTATACTCTAATACCCAGGACATCAAGGAATAAGAGGTAGAAATGGCAGAATTTGAAGTTTAAGACCTCCTGGGGGTGAGAAGAAGGAGAGGAAAAGTGTTAGAGGACCGTGGACATCACAGTCGTGGGCAAAGGATTGGGAAAAGAGAGATTTGGCTGTCAGAATCCAACCCAGAACTCCTGCTATTGAGTCTACTGTGTATCTGAAAATGAGGAATAAAATGTACTGGACTCTGTTCACATATATACAGTGTTCCAAGTTGTTGTTCATAAAATATGATCACATGACTATAGGTACAGCAGTCACTTGCTTGCATGTTAAAAAAAAAAGTAACACTGATAATAATAATCGCAGTATCATTGCTGACAGTACCTAGTTACAAAAAAGTGGGGGCTGAGGAAGTAAATCCTTTACCAATTTATTCTTAAAGAAAGGTACCGGTAGAACTGGTATGTTTTAATCTTTCTGAGAAAAAAAAAAAGGGGTCTCTGCCCAAAAATATCTGTAGGAAAGAGAAAGGACAAAGTAATCAGAGCAAGAGATCCCTTCTACATAGAATTTCTTCTAAAAGAAGAGGATGGGAAAAGTCAACAATTTCAAGAAACAATCTAGATTATATATTAGCTGTTCACTTTAACTGGTAGGGATCTGACAGAAAATAAACAATGAAGAGCATTCCTAATGCGTTCCTTACAAATGTATATATTTTAAAGTCTCTCATACTTGTTTTAGGCTATTCTTTGGTATACGACTTTTCAAGTGCTATTTTTTATTCCATGTATACTGAAAAACAGATGTAATAAAAATAATTCAGCCAGTGGTTTTACTTATGTCTGCATATTAGAATCGTTTGGGAAAACTTTGAAACAAACAAACAAAACCAATAAAGCTCTGACACTAACCCAGAGCAATAAAAACAAAATCATTGACACTGGTGTTTGCACATCAGTATTTTTAAAAACACCACAGGTGTTTTTCAGCTGTAGAGGTGAAGAACTGCTAGTACTGACAGATACTATATGCAGTGCCCACACACAATCAGTCACTAGAAGCATGGCACACATGGCAGACCAGTGATCACAGTCAGTAATTCTTGGTCATGATCCATACTTACTACAATGTTCTGACTGCCAATTAACTGTCCATTTCAAATGGCTGAATTTTATATTATATGAAATATACCTTAATGAAGTGATCTTTTAAAAAGCTCTCACTGATTGCTTTTACTGTTAGTTTTATTGAGGCTAGGCAGTAATAAACAGATTATCTCACTGCTTACCAAACTGGGATGCAGAGCACCATAAAGTGACTAATTCTATACTTTTATTAGGGAGCCTAATACAATTTCAATTCCTAGGCATTAATGTAGAATTGCTGAATCAGAATCTTTAGGAGCAGGGCCCAAAAATCTGTATTTTTTAATTTCTTGGAAGCTTTATATCATTAAAGAAACATATTGCTAGATTCCATGTGGTGTTAACCTGGTAACATAGGCTCTAGATAAAAGTTTAACAACGTGTTCCACACATGATGGTTAATTCTATCCTATGGAAACATCCTGTCCTTTACCTTCCAAAACTGCGTAATTACCTGATGAGGAAGAGAGGTGCTCTGAGTGCACACACCACCTGGGAGACACATTAAGTAGAGCACTTACCTTCTGAGAGTCTTTCCTTCCAGCCTTGGGCTGCTGAAGTGAAGAATTCATTGTTAAGGGCTGAGCCATTTAACTTCATTAAACCATCTGGACCAACCTGGGTCAAAGAATAAGCCAAGGAAAGCTTACAAAGAAAGTGAAAGGTATCACGTCGTATTTGACCTTCCTTTCATTTTATAAAAGAATGTATATATATTTATTTTAATAGAAATATAACTATCTCATACTATGTGCTTATCCAACTCTGTTATTTAATGTAATATCACTTTGTTCTAAAACATTGCTTTCCTGTTTACCTCTCCTCACTCCTTTCTCTCCATTCACATCCATTCCCTAATAATTAAAAATCTACTCACAGAACCACACATATAGTGCTGGAACAACTGGCTATCCACCCAGTAGAAAATAAAGCTGAATCCCAGATTCAGATAATGACAAAAAAAAAAAGAAAAAAAAAAGAAAAAAAAAAAAGAAGGATGGACTAAAAATCTAAATGTAAATTTTAAGTCAAAAACAGTTTTTTGAAGAAAATTAAGAAAATGATTTGGACATCCTTGAGATTGAGGAACTCTTCTTAACCCACTTTACTTTCCAAACGTATGTGGGTTGACATCATTTCCCCCTGGCTCTACAGCAGAAATTGGTAAACCTTCTGTAAAGGGCTAGACCACAAATACTTTAACTTTGCAGGCCATATGGCTTGATTTCAGCTACTCAACTCTGCCACTGTAGCACAAAAGTAGTTACGGACAATACGAAAACTAACAGGAGTGGCTTTAAGTCAACAAAACTTTATTAATTAGGCAGTCAGCTGGAAATTGCCTAGTGGGCTGTAGTTTGCTGACTGCTGATTCATACTCTAGAGAACTGGTACGAGGGTAATAGTGTTCTATATAAGAGCAGTTTATCCAGTCTCTACTTGAGTATTACAGTGATAAGCAAGTTACTCCACTATAAGCCAATCTATTCTGCAGTTTAATCCTCCAACTGTGAAAAAGCTTTTTTAACCCCAAATCTGCTTTCTGTATAACAAAGTATACCTCTTCCATATCATGGGCCTTCTAATATATTGAAGGAGAGGGTTTTGATCCAAACCTATGTTTTTCTCTGGTCTAAATATTTTTCTACTCATTGCTGGATACTCCACACAGTCAAGTATGGCTTCCAACTTTTCATTCTTTAAACACTCTAAATTTCATCTGACAGTAGTTTGTATTCCACTTAATCGAAATTCTATATTCTCTACACATAAGGACAATGTTACTCAGATTACTGTGGGCTCCAACCATGTTAACAACTGGAAAAGACTAGCCAAGTAACCTCCTATTAAGAATACCCTGGCTGGGCGCGGTGGCTCACATCTGTAATCCCAGCACTTTGGGAGGCCGAGGCAGGTGGATCACGAGGTCAGGAGATCGAAAGCACCCTGGCTAACATGGTGAAACCCCGTCTCTACTAAAAAAAAAAAAAAAAGAAAGAAAAAGAAAACACACACACACACACAAAAACTAGCCGGGCATGGTGGCACACGCCTGTAATCCCAGCCACTCAGGAGGCTGAGGCAGGAGAATTCCTTGAACCCAGGAGGCGGAGGTTGCAGTGAGCCGAGATCGAGCCAATGCACTCCAGCTCAGGCGACAGAGGGAGACTCCATCTCAAAAAAAAAAAAAAAAAAAAAAAAAAAGAATACCCCCCAGGATTGCACTCTATGGGAAAATGAACTAGATAACCTCTAAGATCCCTTTTAATTCTAAAATTGTATGTGGCAATCCTCCAGATTTAGAACTTGATAAAGAACATTAGTCAAAAGATAGTTCTGAGGAACCAGCATTAGAATTCCATAAACAGGCCCTCAGTTACATCCTGTACTAGTATTCCCAGCCTAACAACCCTGAGTCTTTAACAAAAAAAAAAAAAAAAAAAAGATGAGAGCAATCTCCAAGAGGTTCTCTTAAAACTGCTGAAACTTCAGTCTCCTAACTTGTTCTAACCAAGAACTGGCATCCTCAAAGCTATAATTTCTCCAAGAGTTATGTAGGGAGAGCAGTTACCAAGAAGGACCGGTTTTACTTCTTTGTCCCCACTGCTGTAAGAATACCTCATTTATTTGGGCTCTCTGGACAATGGACTCTGAACTCCTTTGACATGTTCTGATTCACAACACTATGAAACTGATATCAATGCAGTCTAGTAGAAAGATTATTTTCAGAATTAGAAAGATTTAGTTTTATTTCAGTAAGTCAATTAGCTAATAATGAATTCTGTAGCTTACTCATTCTCTGTTATCCTCTTACTACGAACAAGAGAGTATAACCAGTTCTTTTACTGTGTAAACTAAGGAAAACATCTCCCTCTCATCATTTTAATAAACATTCTTAAAAGTTGGGGGTTGGGGAGACCTATCACATTACTTAGAACACAGCTGAGATTTTTAAAAATCTCAGAAGTGAAGAAAGCTTAAAAAATTGTAATTGTTCTATCTTCCTTTTACAGAGGGAGGAAACAGAAGATCAGAAGGGGGAGTGACTGGGTACACTGTTTTCCTTGATGAAAGCCAAAGTCTCAGACCTTTTCTTTATTCCTGACCAAGGTAAATCACTAAAGCTCTCTGGTCCCTGCCTTGACGCTTGCCAAACCTTTGGCATTTCTTTTTGCTACTTTTGTTTTTTTTTTTTTTTAAGTATAATTTACATTGGGTTTTAAGTTCTTTACTATGAAAGTAATAAATGTTTCTCTTAGCAAAATGTAACAAAAGAATGCAAACTGCAAACATTCCCAAGTCCACCACTGTTCATACCATGTTGTATTGTCTTTCCAGATCTATTTATTTATCTGGACCCATGTTTTTGGCTTATTCCTGACATTTCCCACTCCACTGAAGCACTGGCCCACATCCTGTTGATACTGGACCAAGACAACTCTTCCTCCTGAAGTTTATGTATTCTTTTTTTTTTTGAGATGGAGTTTCACTCTGTCACTCAGGCTGGCGTCCAGTGGCACTATCTTGGCTCACTGCAATCTCTGCCTCCCAGGTTCAAGCGATTCTCCTGGCTCAGCCTCCCGAGTAGCTGGGATTACAGGCGCCCACCACCACGCCTGGCTAATTTTTGTATTTTTAGTAGAGACAGGGTTTTGCCATGTTGGCCAGGCTGGTCTTGAACTCCTGACCTCAGGTGATCTGCCCTCCTTGGCTGCCCAAAGTGCTGGGATTACAGGTGTGAGCCACCATGTCTGGCTTCCTCCTCACCTTCATTCTATGGATGCTTACATCCTAATACAGTCAAAATAATTCTGTCATCTTGAAATTCTGGTAGGAGAATTTTTTTTTCCTAAGCCTTAAAAAAACCTGCCTATTAAGAAACTTATGTAAAAATATTCTTACTTCTCACTTAGTACCATTAATACCACTTTACAAGTATACATAAACAGCTATTTTTAAAATCTTAAGGAGTTCAATGACGCACCTGTCGATCTACCTCTGGGAGTAGTAAAAGCAGTCGTTGCTGGCAATCTCCAGGAAGGACTGAAAATGTGTGCTTGTTGATCAGTGCTCGCAGATTTGTATTAACCAGAATGGAGTCCGGTGTCTCAACGTCAATGTCAGCACATTTAGTTCTTTTCATTTGTCCTACAAAAACAGAGAAGAATCGTTTGGGCCTCCCTCACAAGTCCTGTTTCTATATAAACTGTAGCTTTCTGTGCAGTATAAAAAATCCACAATTGTAAGCATTTAAATATCACACTACGAAGAAGGTAACACTTAAGATCTTAGAATTTTCTTCTAAGACTAACAAAACAAGTTTTGTTCATTTATAGAGGATAAAAGAATACAATGTATCTACCTTCTCTGCATAAATAGAATAAAGTCTGTAAAAATGGGTCTTCTACCATACTAAAACTGCATTTTATGTTTGAGACTAGATTATTTCCCCCAAAAAACTGAGAAAGTTTATGATAAATGATATGAAGAATGTCTAAGAAAGAAAACCCAAATCTACAAATCATACTGACTTCCTTTGCCTCTTCTCATGACTTTTTTTTTCACTGATTTTAATTTACATTGGCTAAAAATATTATGATTTAATAGCCTAGCAGTTTCAGGAAATCTGTCCACAACCAGAAGGTTACAATCTTTCAAAAAACTGAGTACACAAAGGATTAAAATGTAAATAAAAATTTATATATATATAAAAGACCAACCTGGAAAAAATATTTGGAAGCCATGACAAAAGGTTGCTCTTCTTCATATGAAAACAGCAATTACACATCAATAAGAAAAAGACAAATACCACCAAGAGAAAAATGAGCAAAGGAAATTAAAAGGTAATTCAGTCCACTAACCTTAAGTAGATGCTAAAATATTAATATTTTTAAAAATGCAAATTAAACCACTGAACATATTTGTCTATGAAAATGGCAAAATATTGTAATATGGTAATGGGACTATGCAGGGGGAAAAAGCAAAAAGCACTTTCAAATGCTGCTGATGGGGCTGAATCAGCATAATCTTAGAAAATCTAACAATATCTAGCAAAATGTTAATATACATAAAACTACAGGATCCAGAAATTCTACATTTTGAATTGCTTTCACAAAGCTATACAATCTTTGATGTGGGTACACCCTCTGCCTCCTGGCGGAAGCATAAACAAAAAGAAAGGATTTCCCTCAAATTAATCCCACTGGATTCCTACAAATTAAAATCTGGCATTACTACTTCAGAAAGATTACCCAACAAATGAGAAGTTATGCCACTACAAGAGAGAATCATTAGAGACTAGAAATAACAGATGGAGACCTAGAAGTACTGAAGCTATCAGATATACAGAATACAGAATTGCTATGTACAAAATGTTTAAGGAAATAATGTAATTACAAAAATAAGGACAAAATAATTAGGAATTAATAGACTTAAGAAAATGGGACATCTAGAAATGTAGAATAAAAATTGATGAAATCGATTAAACAGTAGTTTCACAATATTAAAGAGGGTCTACACTATATAGCCAAACAATTTACCCTCAATTTACCCAATTTATACTCTCAGAATATGAGAGAGAAGACAAAATATTTTTAGAGGTTTAGCAAAAACATAAATGACAGAATGAGGGTCTAACAAATACCTGACTGAAGCTCAAGAATGAGAAAATGATGAGAATGGAAAAAAGGCAATATTCAAAGAACTGACAGTTGTACATTTGCAGCAACTGATGAAAACTACAAAACTAAAGCTCTAGAAGTGGAACGTATTCCAAAGAGGACAGAAAGAAATCCATGCATAGACCCAGCATAGTAAGAGTGTTTATCAAAGACAAAGAGAATAACTTGAAAGCATCCACGAGGAAGGGAACGATCACATAAAAAGGAATGAAAGAGGCTGGGCAAGGTGGCTCATGCCTGTAATCGCAGCACTCTGGGAGGCCGAGGCAGGCAGATCACAAGGTCAGGAGATCGAGACCATCCTGGCTAACACGGTGAAACATCGTCTCTACTAAAAATAGAAAAATCAGCCGGGCTTGGTGGTGCGCGCCTGTAATCCCAGCTACTCGGGAGGCTGAGGCAGGAGAATGGCGTGAACCCGGGAGGCGGAGCTTGCAGTGAGCCGAGATCGCACCACTGCACTCCAGCCTGGGCAACAGAGCCAGACTCCGTCTCAAAAAAAAAAAAAAAAAAAAGGAATTTAAGAACAGCAGTAAACTTCTTAAAATGAAATTTGGAATAAGGTAGATAATATCTGTAAAATGCTGACAGAAAATAACCACTAATCTATAAAGGCATGTCCACCAAACTATCCTTCAAAAATGAACAGGAAAGGACATTTATAAACAAAAACTGAAGGCGTTCACTACTCAGAAACCTGATATAAATACAGTTCTTATTGTACTTCAGGAAAGAAAATCATTGCAGAATGGGTTGAAATACAATACAGAAAGGTAAACATGTAGATAAATATATGTCCACATTATTTATATAAAATAATAGTATTCTAGTGTCTGATTTGTGAGGTTAAAAACAAAATACAAAAAAAAGACAATAATATTTATTTAAGTCTAGATAGAAAAGATTAGCACTGAATTGTTGTATTTCCACTGTTCTGGAGGAAAATCAAGATGGTTACTTTTAAGAATTAAAGACATATCACATGTAACTAAAAAATATATAGAAGTATGATATATCAATTTTTTAGAAGTGTGGTACCATTTAAGGAATCACTAACCACTAAAAGAGAAATTGAGTGCATACCAAACTCAGTAGAGAGAAAAAAAAGGCTACAAGAGAATTAATATGAACACACCAAAAAAAAAAAAAAAAAAATCAGTAAAGCCAAAAAACCTTTTCAGAAGTTTAAAAGAAGAGTAAGAAAGAGGCTGGGAGTCGTGGCCCATGCCTATAATCCCAGCACTTTGGGAGGCCAAGGCAGGTGAACCACTTGAGGGCAGGAGCTCAGGACCAGCCTGGCCAACATGGTGAAAACCCATTTCTACTAAAAGTAAAAAATTAGCCGGGCGTGGTGGCGGGTCCCTGTAATCCCAGCTACTCAGGAGGCTGAGGCAGAAGAATCACTTGAACCTGGGAGGCAGAGGTTGCAGTGACCCGAGATCGCACCACTGTACTCCAGCCTGGGTGACAGAGCGAGACTCTTTCTCGAAAAAAAAAAAAAAAAAAAAAAAAGAATAAGAAGGAAACAAGAAACAGCCATAGGATAAAAAACTATGACTGAGAAACAAGTCCAAATATTAACAAACACAGTAAATGTAAATAAATAAAACTCATCAAATGGGAGCCTGTCATTGGGTTGAAACCAAAACAAAGAAATTTCAGCTAGTTATATGCTATTTAGAGAGAGATTATGTAAAGCACAAGGACACAGAAATGAAGTTACACACCAGGCAAAAACTAACCATAGGGGAGCTGTTATACATTTATTAACATCGAATGAAAGATACTTTTAGTAAAAAGACTTGATGATCGATAAGGTAAATAAATATTCAATCCATCAGAAAG
The DNA here is from genome assembly GCF_000001405.40 of Homo sapiens. Classification (NCBI taxonomy): domain Eukaryota; kingdom Metazoa; phylum Chordata; class Mammalia; order Primates; family Hominidae; genus Homo; species Homo sapiens. The sequence goes on from NC_000002.12 coordinate 25,763,023, forward strand.
ATTTTAAACATGAAAACATCCAATATAAAGAAACTTCAAAACATGTGAAATAAAAACTGAAAGAACAGGGAGAACTGGACAAACCCACCATTTGGATAGGAGATTTCAACACATCTCTCTCCATTATTAATAAATCAAGCAAACCAGAAGGAGCTATCACTCACTAAAAAAGCTGATTTCAGGCTGGGCGCAGTGGCTCATGCCTGTAATCCCAGCTCAGCACTTTAGGAGGCTGAGGCGGGCGGTATCACGAGGTCAGGAGTTGGAGACTAGCCTGACCAACATGATGAAACCCTGTCTCTACTAAAAATACAAAAATTAGCCAGGAGTGGTGACGTGTGCCTGTAATCCCAGCTACTCAGGAGGCTGAGGCAGGAGAATCGCTTGAACCTGGGAGGCGGAGGTTGCAGTGAGCCAAGATCACGCCACTGCACTCCAGCCTGGGTGACAGATCAAGACTCCATGTTAAAAAAAAAAAAAGCTGATTTCAGATTAACAAGCTTGATCTAACAAGCACAGAATTCTGTGTTGAACAACTAGAGTATATTTCTAAATTCAGTATCATTAGGTCAAAAAAAGGAGGTCTCAGTAAATTTTGAGTAATAGTAGTGCAGTAAGAGCAACAGCAGCAGCAGCAACTTACATAGGGCTTCCTAAGTGCCAGACACTGTTCTAAGCATTTACATATATTCACTCATTTATTTTTCACACAACCCTATGAAGTAGGTAACTATTATCACCCCATTTCACAGATGAAGAAAGTGAGGCCCAGATATAACTTGCCCAAGTCACATTATTAAGTTACTGTAGGAATTTAAACCCAGGCGATTTGATTTTCAAGTCTGTTGTTCATCACAATGCCACACAGGCATAAGCATCACACAGTCCATGATATCTGACCAGAGGCTTCATAACAAAAAGATAAACAAAAATCCCTATATATTTGGAAATTAACAACAACAAACCAAAAAAACTTCAAAATAACTCCTGGGACAAAGAATAAATTACAATAAAATTTTAAATCTTTTCAAAGTGAATAATAAAAACAGTGTCTAAGAGGTAAATGTTGTCTATAAATTCAAATAGTACCTAAAGATACAAAATAAAAACAAAGGTTTCTACATTCAAACCCAACCTTCCTGCCAGAAATGACATTTTAAATTGGATAACATGAAATCACAATGTACATGTTAATCATATTTGGTTTTTAATTTCACTAAATATCTTGGGACATTTTTCAAATTACCACCTACAAATTCATCTTCTTTCTTTTAAAAAAAGCTGCATCACATTCCAATGTATACACCAGGGGTGTCCAATTTTCTGGCTTCCCTGGGCCACATTGGAAGGAGAAGAACTGTTGTGGGCCACACATAAAATACACTAACACTAACTAATGAGCTATAACAAAAAGATAAATAAATAAAAATCACCAAAAAAAATCTCATAATGTTTTAAGAAAGCTTATAAATTTGTGTTGAGCAGCATTCAAAGCCATCCTGGGCCACATGCAGCCTGTGGTGGGTTGGGCAAACTTGCTATATACCATGATGAATTTAAATGGAATACCACTGATGATAAAGGTAGGTGGCTACCAGTTTTTTGTTTAATATAAACAATGTTTGTATTAATATAAACAATATTTGTATTAATATAAACAATGTTGCAATGCCTCTATAAACTTTTGAGAAGCAACAGCTTTGTTTGCTTTTCCCATATAATTAATGGAATTGGACTGTCAACCTTCCTTGAAAAATTTTTACTATTTATGCATTCATTGTACCTGCACATCGCAGTCAAACTTCAGTTAAAATGTTCACTTCTTAAAAGACTGGGAAGTAGTTGTGAATTATTTTCTACTACTGACTGAACTGTGTTCCCTGAAGATACTTTTGTGCCTCAAAGTGGTCAGTTTAAGTCCTCTAATTTTAGTAAAGATGACTTACCCAAGTTTTTTCAATTTAGGTTGACTTAATCTATTATATTATACTTGAAATCTGAGGTATGTTTAGTCTTCTGACTGAATCTGGGATGTAAAAATATTTATTATCAATTTTACTGAAGTTAATAAAAATGATACCAATGTCAGCTAGAAAGTATTTTATATAAATTAGCTAATTTAGTTTTATCATTTATGTTTTACACAACTTCTTCCACGTGTTTTGAAAATAGTCATTGTGTGGCTGGGGGCGGTGGCTCATGCCTGTAATCCCAGCACTTTAGGAGGCCAAGGCGGGCAGATCACGAGGTCAGGAGATCAAGACCATCCTGGCTAACACAGTGAAACCCCGTCTCTACTGAAAATACAAAAAAATTAGCCGGGCGTGGTGGCGGGCACCTGTCGTCCCAGCTACCCAGGAGGCTGAGGCAGGAGAATGGCATGAACACGGGAGGCAGAGCTTGCAGTGAGCCGAGATCGGGCCACTGCACTCCCTGGGCAACAGAGCGCGACTCCCTCTCAAAAAAAGAAAAAAAAAAAGAAAATAGTCATTGTGGCTATGTTACAAAAATTTCCACACTATTTCCCTTTACGCTCATTTGCTTGAAAGAAGATGGACTTCTGCTTACTTCTCAGCCATTAGGTCAAACTTAAATAAACGGAAATGGTGCTTTCTTTTTTTATGGTTAATTTTTCCTAGTTTTCCATGAAAGTTAAAAATTCCTGGTCCATAATTTCTCAATTTTGTACCTCTACATTTCTTTTGCAATTTACTAAAATTTTCAATTTTAACTGATTTTAAGTAGAATATGCGCTCCATGAGGAAGAAATATTGCTCTGTTCATCATCATAGCCCTAGGACTCTAAATCTGTGTTTGGCTTATTAGCATTTCTTCCATAGATATTTAATAAATATTTTTATTCTTAGCAGTGAAACTGATGATCAAAGGGCACATTCGGTTTAAATATGTGATATACTACATTAAGAAAAATGTACAATCCCCTCTAGAATCAAACTAAGGTTTTTTTATTTTTTATTTTTTACAAAGCATTGTTTAAATTATTGTTAATTCTGTTCTCATTAGATCAGTCTGGAATATGTAAATGAATACAGAATAAATTTCCCTCAGAATGTGTCAGCACTGCTGCACTTTTAGTTTCCATGTTGCTGCTAAGGATATCTGTACTCCCAATTCTTGAATCTTTCTATGTGAAGTATTTTTCTTCTTTCTGGAGGCTTTTTGTTACCTTTTCATGACCCCATATGTTTCGAGATCTTTAAAAAAAAACATGCCTTGGCATAGGTTTCTTTTCACTCATGTTTCTTAATGCCTATTACACATTTTTAATCTGGAATTCTGTGGCTTTTTATTCTAAATAATGTTCTTATATTGTTTTTTATCACACTCTGTTCTTCCTTTCTGATAGTCCTACTATGTGAGACATTGTACGACCTAGATTGGTGTTCCAAGTTTCTTACTTTTTCTCTCCTACTGAACCTCTTTTTAACTTTGACAGATTTTTCTAAGAAATTTCTTCAACTTTACTGAAACATTATCAAGATGATCTCTGCTTATCTGGGAACCTATACATTTGCCTGCAGACTTTTTTCTAAGACTATTCAATGTCTTTAGGTACCAATCCACCAATCTCAAGCTCGAACACGATGGGAGGAAGAAGGAAGTAGTGGTGTTAGAAATATGCCTTGTTAGTAGCATTTTGGAAGCCAAGGAGGAGAATCCCTATTCAGTATTTACAGTATTTACATTTTACTTGATTTTCCAGATTTCAGTACAGTGCCTCCTCATCTGCCCCCAGCTATGTTTGATATCCCTGAATGTGGAGTTTCTCTGGTTGAAATTTCACTTCAAAATAAACCTCCTGTCTCCTGCTGGGGTAAGGCATCAAACTGCTTCTTACTAACTTTCAAACAAAATTCCCCCCTTCTCTTCTGTAATACATTGTATCTCCAATTCTTGAGCCTTCCCGGTGTTCTGCAACCTTATGTGGCTGCTTTATCCCTGGCAACTGCTCTTCAGCTCAGTGAAAAATTCTATCCAGTTTTCATCTCTCAAAATTTGCTGACATCTCTTGCCCAGCTGTGGTCTCCTTGTTTTCTTCACCTGTATGGATTTGATCTTTTGTATTTCTATATTATCATTTCAGTGGGATTTCAAAAGGAATAGAGAGAAGAAATTTCAGTCTGTCATATATATTTAATCATACGCCCTTCTATCTTTCTTTACACAGAAATAAAACATGAATAATGCTGGACAAAGCAACCTATTGGCAGAAAGGGAAATAAACCACAAAATGACTGATAATAGATCTTTCTCTGAAATAAAGTTTGTTAAGAGGAAGACAGGAAGAACATGAACATAGTCAAGAGCTCAAAGGTAAACAGGGGATAGCAGGAGAAAGACATACTAAATCAATTCCGTTCCTGTTACTTTTCATTTCTTAACAGTAATTATGTTAGCAACAAAAAAAACTTATGTCTAATCTTTGCTATGTAACTCAAATCTAAGTTATAAGTACCTAAGCCAGGTAGCTGATGAATTTCAAACATGTAGCTGATAAATCATGGCAATGAAAACTGAAGTCTTTGTAAGCAAACTTACTGGTATGGAGTCTCTCAGATCTCTGGAATGACTTCTTCCCCAAGCCTAGTAAAGTATTTTCCACTTTAACTGAGGAAGAAAAGCTGGAGTTTGAGTTTTGAGGGCTGCCTGTCTGTCCATCAGATTGCTTTCCTTCCCATGTTGCTAGGAGAAAAAAATACGTATAAAGACTGGTAGCACTGAGATTATAGACAGAATCAATTAATCAATCATTCAACATTCACTAAATGAAGTTATGTATGAGGCAATGTGACCCTCCCTAATGTGTTTTGAGTTTGAAAATTAAAGTCAAAGAGTAAAATAAAACCCTGTTTTTCCTCCCAGCATACTATTTGCTTCTAGTGGTAAATTTCCTTTCTCATAAAAATGCAGTTCTGTAAGATTCAGATTGAGTCTGGCAGGCCCATAGAATCAGCTTATGGTATCAAACTGAATTATGTAATACAATACAGAGTCTGTGTCTAGAAAGTTTAGAGTAGAAACAAACAAGCAACCACAACAAAAGATCCAAAGGCCTTACAGACATGTCCAAAAGAAACTCAAAGGTTGTATGTATTCTTAGGAAACCCTGTTATTTTTACAGAAAACTGGCTAAGAGTTTAGTTTGAGCCTCTTGGAAACATCAGATTTTAAGGTTGCTGATTAGAGGTTTCCAAATATTTATTAGATTAGACCATCTTTAAAGTCAGTCATTTATTTCCTTCTTATATGCAAATCCCAGTGCTAACATTTTTTTTTGGAAACAGTGTCTCGCTCTGTCATTCAGGCTGCAGTGCAGTGGTGAGATCAGGGCTAATGGCAGTCTTGACTTCCCGAGCTCAACCAATCCTCCCACCTCAGCTTCCCGAGTAGCTGGGGCTACAGGTGTGCCCCACCACACCCGGCTAATTTTCTGTGTTGTTGTTGAGACAGGGTCTCACTATTTTGCCCAGGCTGGTCTTGAACTCCTGGGCTCTGAGTTATTTTTTAATAACTGCATGATTATTTTGCACACAACTTTTCCCATTTATCCTGGATTTATATTGATGTTTTGGCAGTACAAGGATTGTGTAAGTAAATATAATTTAAAAATAAATGATGTCATAAACAAATCAGGAAAACCAACATAAAAATACTAGGAAAAAGAAACTTCCATTGAAAAACTGCCCAAACTGCCTACCAGGTTTGGCAGGTACAGAGTCACTGGCTGCTTTGACAGTCTTTAGTGAGAGATGCTGGTTGGAGGAGATGGATATGCTTGGCCTGCATTGCTGCTGCTGCTTCTTCTGCTGTTGCTGCTTTAGCGCCTATAAAGATAAAACAGACTATAAGAAACAAAACCAATCAGTTTTTTAGTAATAATATAAATTACTTCTTTTTTAAATGGCAAGAAGCATGCTGATCGTTCAATTTCTTTGAAATCTATCAAAGCAAACAAAAACCTAAATTAAGCTAACTCTCGCTTCTTGGCCTTTTGGCTAAGATCAAGTGTAGTATCTGTTCTTATCAATTTAAATTAAGCCAACTAAACACAAGGCCTAAATGATTCTTAGAGTTTGGATAGTTTTTGCCAGTATCATTCCTTTATATAAATGTGAAAAAGTCATTAGCATTTTTTGGAACTTAAAAAAATCACTAGGTAAGCCAAAAACTTCCCAGTCTTGTAAAGCAGAGACAGTACGTTTTCAATCATTTCTAGAAATGAAATTCTAAGCCTTATAACAAAAAGAGCCCTATCTGCATCAAACCTATGTAGAAATGTAAATATTCAGTTTACGCAGGCTTCAGAGATACAATATTTTTACAGAAGTTTGTAAATAACTACATCAGTTGTCTTGGGTGACAGCAATGAGATTTGTCCCAATTATCAAATTTCAGCAATTTACAGCAAAGCAGTAAACAGAGGGGGAAGACTAGACAATACTGGTTCTAACAACAGTGTGGTTCCTTCTGTCTACTTCAGAATATTTTGATTTCTATGAGGTTCTTAATTTATAAAATATACTTGATAATGCTATTTAAAATGAACAGAAAAAAACAAGAAATACCCAAATTTTAATCACAAAAACATTATGAAGGCAACTTTTAACTTAAGGTTTTCTTTAAAAAAAAAAAAAGAAAAAGAAACGAAGAAAGTAATTTCAGGAAAAAAACTGAAGTTTGACTTTGCTAGGTTGCCATTTTCAAGCTTTTAAGACTGTCATGTAGCAAAGTGTGGAGTAACTGGCTACTTCTGGTTTCCTATTTTCTTTTCCCAATAGTTTCCTCCTGCTTAACATTTCACACGTATCTCTGGCTATGCTATAGGCACAGTGGCAACAAATGATCTCCTCACTCTAAGTTGCCAATGCAGAAAAGCAACTGAGAGAGCTCTATGTCTCGCTTAGCCTCACCTACATTTATAATAGGTGAGGCAGAAGCACAAAGTACATAAAATGGCAGTATTGACTGACCATTGATTATCGCTTATTCTCTCATTCTTTGCAATTAGATCAGAAGATGTTCATAAATTCCTGCAAGTGCAGTCACCAGTATTCATTCCTTGCTCCTCACAGGACACATGTAATTTCAGGTTAACGTAAAATTTATTAGAACCACTTGATTGCATCTATTTCTGCTGTGATCATGTACATTCATTTATTTTTTATTATTTAATTTTTTTTTTCAGACGGGGTCTTGCTCTGTTGCCCAGGCTGGAGTGCAGTGGCACGATCTCGGCTCACTGTAATCTCCACGTCCTGGGTTCAAATGATTCTCTCATCTCATCCTCCAAAGTAGCTGGGATTACAGGAGGTCTCTGAACTCCTGACCTCAGGTGATCCGCCTGCCTTGGCCTCCCGAAGTGCTAGGATTACAGGCGTGAGTCACTGCACCCAACCAAGTTATGTACAGTGTAATATTAAAAAATCTAGGCCAGGTGCGGTGGCTCACGCCTGTAATCTCAGCACTTTGGAAGGTCGAGGCAGTTGAATCACTTGAGGTCAGCAGTTCAAGACCAGCCTGACCAACGTGGTGAAACCCTGTCTCTACTAAAAACACAAAAATTAGCCAGGCGTGGTGATGGGTGCCTGTAATCCCAGCTACTTGGAAGGCTGAGGCAGGAGAATTGCTTGAACCCGGGAGGCGGAGGTTGCACTAGGCAACAAGAGCGAAACTCCGTCTCAAAAAAGACAAAAAGAAAGAAAAGAAAATCTAGCTGTGTGTAATTCTCTGTGTTAGTAGATTAAAAGAGAAAAATCTATGTGATCATCTCAATAAATCCCAAAGAAAACAAACCTGAAAAATTCAATACCTATTCATGATTTTAAAACACATATACAAACAAACAAAAGATTCTGAGCAAACTACGAACAAATTAGACACTTTAAAAAATGTGATAAAAAGAGTATCTACCGGCCAGGTGCGGTGGCACACGCCTGTAATCCCAGCACCTTGGGAGGCCAAGGTGGGCAGATCACAAGGTCAAGAGATTGAGACCATCCTGGCCAACATGGTGAAACCCTGTCTCTACTAAAAATACAAAAATTAGCTGGGCGTGGTGGCAGGTGCCTGTAGTCCCAGCTACTTGGGAGGCTGAGGCAGGAGAATTGCTTGAACCTGGGAAGCAGACGTTGCAGTGAGCTGAGATTGCACCCACTGTACTCCAGCCTGGCAACTGAGACTCTGTCTCAGAAAAACAAAGTATCTACCAAAAACGTATGTAACATGTGTTACAAAGAGGTGCATAAATTACTAAAACCACATTGGGCTACTGCATGAAAGTTCCACTGGCAAGGGCCCAATGTAAAAAATTTTCAAAAAATATCCGATGACTGCCAGAGGTGTGCGTTTTAAATACAGGAAATTCTACTTGATAAATACAGACTAGCAATGCTTACCTGCTTTAGTGCCTTCTTGCTGTGCTTCTGTGATGGAGAAATGACTTTACCTGCTGGAATGGTGGGTGATGGGCAGCCTGACTGCGGGGAGGACGACGATACTAGGGAAAAAAAAGTGACAATAAAAGATTTTTGTTAACAGAGATACCAAGCACCATTCCTTCCCCAATCATATGCTGCTACCTGGAGTAAGAACTATGACCAAACACTTTTGGGAACGATGTACTTTTTGGAGTTTTACTGCAAACAGCCTCCCTTTTCAGTTTTTTTCCTCAGAAAGTTCTAATGAAGGATGATAGGATAGGGAAGGGATGAGTGTTAGTATTCATTACTTTTCATTTATTACTTTTTCAATAGAATTGACTGAAGAATGACTCATCAAATCAGATAAAACTTAGGAAAGATTCTAGGGCCTTTAAGACAGTATCTATGGTCTCACAGTAAATCTAATGACAACACGATACAGTGGAAGGGCCTTGGGTTGGCAGTTTAAAATAAAGACATTAAGGCCATTCGACCTCAAAACTCTACCACAGTTTTAATCCTTACATTCCTTCATCCTTTAAATCAACAGTTACAGGCTTACCAACGTGAGAGGGCATTTTAAGATGTCTCTAATGGAAGCAATTTGAATTTGCATAAGATGTAACCACTCTCTACTTCATCACTAGCTGTTTTATATTGCCTGGCAGAGTTTAGCCAGATCTGAGTGGGTCTTATGCGAACAAGGGTTCTTTAAGAATCTATACCTCTTAAACAGCAAGTAGATATTTATGTTCTATAAAATTAAACAATATGTGAGTAGTGTTTACGATAAATACAGAAATTGCTGATTCAGTACCCTTATTAAAAAAAAATTATAATCACTACTGCTAGTGATGACTCTTGAAGAATGAATGTTTACTAAAGTCTTCCCCTATTCATAGTAGTTGGACTGAAAAGGCCCAAATAGCAAAATGATATCCCATGGTAAGGGCAATAAGCTTTAAGATGTCATAAAAGTACACACAAGACCGTGTGCGGTGGCTCATGCCTCCAATCCCAGCACTTTGGGAGGCCAAGGTGGGTGGATGACCTGAGGTCGGAGTTCAAGAACAGCCTGACCAACATGGAGAAACCCTATCTCTACTAAAAATACAAAATTAGCCAGGTGTGGTGGTGTATGCCTGTAATCCCAGCTACTCAGGAGGCTGAGGGAAGAGAATCGCTTGAACCTGGGAGGCGGAAGTTGTGGTGAGGAGATCATGCCACCGCACTCCAGCCTGGGCAACAAGAGCGAAACTTGGTCTCAAAAAAAAAAAAAAAAAAAAAAAAAAAGGTACATACGTTCTGTAGCTAGCTACCGGACATAAAAATGTAGAAGCATAGCTCATTGGAGTATGCAAGTTTTGGACTATAGTATTTCAATTTACTTAGATGTCCTAAGAAAGGAATGCACAGCAGATGCATTTAAAGAAGATAGCATCAAACAATTAAGATGATGACTTGGCCGGGCGTGGTGGCTAACGCCTGTAATCCCAGTACTTTGGGAGGCTGAGGCAGGCGGATCGACTGAAGTCAGGAGTTCAAGACCAGCCTGACCAATATGGTGAAACCCCATCTCTACTAAAAATACAAAAATTAGCCGGGTGTGGTGGCACATGCCTGTAATCCCAGGCACTCAGGAGGCTGAGCAGGAGAATCCCTTGAACCCTGGAGGCGGAGGTTGCAGTGAGCCGAGATCGCACCGTTGCACTCCAGCCTGGGTGACAGAGCGAGAGTCCATCTCAAAAAAAAAAAAAGATGCTGACTTATCGTCATACTTAGTTTAGTTCTGTATCCCAACCTTTATGAAAAAGTATATAATTTATATATGGAAAAGAGCTGATGTACAAAAAGCTTGATGTTTAAAAATGGAGTTGAATAATTCAAGACAGTTCAGCTGCAAAAAGAAATCATAGCCTTGGCCAGGCGCGGTGGCTCACGCCTGTAATCCCAGCACTTTGGGAGGCCAAGGCGGGCGGATCACAAGGTCAGGAGATTGAGACCATCCTGGCTAACACGGTGAAACCCCATCTCTACTAAAAATACAAAAAAATTAGCTGGGTGTGGTGGCGGGCGCTTGTAGTCCCAGCTACTCAGGAGACTGAAGCAGGAGAATGGCATGAACCTGGGAGGCAGAGCTTGCAGTGAGCCGAGATTACGCCACTGCACTCCAGCCTGGGCGACAGAGAGAGACTCCATCTCAAAAAAAAAAAAACAAAAATCATAGCCTCAGTATACTTTGATACTGACCAATTTTTAAAAAATAGCTTAAGATAAAATTTATACTATGCAGCTGGGCACGGCGGCTCACACCTATAATCCCAAAGGGAGCCGAGGCAGGTGGAACACTTGAGGTTAGGAGTTCAAGACCAGCCTGGCCAACATGGTGAAACCCCGCCTCTACTAAAATACAAAAATTAGCTGGGTGTGGTGGCAGACACCTGTAGTCACAGCTACTCAGGAGGCTGAGGCAGGAGAATCACTTGAACCTGGGAGGCGGAGGTTGCAGTAAGCTGAGATCACGCCACTGTACTCTAGCCTGGGCAACACAGTGAGACTCCATCACAGAAGAAAAAATAATATATATATATATAATTCATATACTATACATCTTGCCTAAAGTATAAAATTTGAGGCCTACTTGAGGGTGGAGGTGGAAGGAGGGTGAGGATAAAAAAACTACCTATTAGGTACTATGCTTATTTCCTGGGTGACAAAGTATTCTGTACACCAAGCCCCCATGACATATAATTTACTTATACAAACAACCTGCACATGTACCCCGAACCTAAAACAAAAGTTAAAAAAATTAAAATATTTAAACATATGTACACAGATCACAAGTGGGTAGCACACTGAAGCTTTTTATATTTAAATTTTTTAAAAAAGGATATTTTAAGCCCACAGCTATCTTTTTGTGATCCCAGCCGGTCACAATCTTCAAGGATGAGCACTACATTGACATCTAATAGCAGAGGTTACTTTTACCTCTTTTATACTTTATATAAATATTGTGCAGCAGGAACTCTTTTGTACATGTCTTTTTACATTCTGTAGGCTGTTTTGAATTTATATGTAGTTTTCCATGTTGTGAATCATTTAATAGCATTGAATTCTGTTGTGAAAATATCACACAATTATTCCACTGCTTATGTACATGTGAGTGTTTTTCATCTGGGAATATTAGGAATAGTACTAGTATCTAAATTCTAGAAAATGCATTGGTAACACATAAAGATTTGGGGGTATATATGTAGTAGCGGAATTGTGTTTTATGTTTACATCTCTTCAGTTTTAGGTGATACTGCCAGTTTTCCAAAATGTTTGTACAAAATTTTGAAGCCACTAGCAGTGTATAAGTTTTCTACATCCTTGCCAACACTTGGTATTCTCTGTCATTTTCATTTCAATCTCCTGGTTGCTGTGTTTATATCAGGCTTTCTCAGATTGCTAAGAAAGCTGAACACTTGTTAACATTTTTTTAGTCACTGAATAACCTCTATTTTGAAGACTGTTATTTCATTTTGCCTGTCTTCTCGTGGTTTTATTAATAGCTGTCTTTTTCTTGTTGACTTGTGGTAGTTTTTTATGTATGCTAGATAGATGTCCTTTTTTAGTTAGTCTTCTGATATGGTTTGGCTCTGTGTCCCCACTCAAATCTCATCTTTTTTTTGTTTTTTTGAGATGGAGTTTCGCTCTTGTCACCCAGACTGGAGTGCAATGGCACAATCTCAGCTCACTGCAACCTCTGCTTCTCAGGTTCAAGTGATTCTCCTGCCTCAGCCTCCTGAGTAGCTAGGATTACAGGTGCCCACCACCACGCCCAGCTAATTTTTGTATTTTTAGTAGAGACGGGGTTTCACCATGTTGGCCAGGCTGGTCTCAAACTCCTGACCTCAGGTGATCCACCCACCTCAGCCTCCCAAAGTGCTGGGATTACAGGCACGAGCCACTTCGCTGGGCCCCAAATCTCATCTTGAATTGTAATCCCCACGTGTCAGCGGAGTGACCTGTAATCACCCGCTTGTTGAAGTAGGAAGGTGACTGGATCATGGGGGCAGCTTCCCCCACGTTGTTCTCGTGATAGTGAGTTCTCATGAGATCTGATGGTTTTTAAAGGCAGTTTTCCCTGCTCTTTCTCGCTTCTCTCTCCTGCCACCATGTGAAGTTGGTTGCTTCCCCTTCGCCTTCTGCCATGATTGTTGTTTCCTGAGGCCTCCCCAGCCATGTGGAACTAACTATGAGTCAACTAAACCTTTTTCCTTTATAAATTACCCAGTCTCAGGTATTTATAGCAGTGTGAAAACAACCTAATACACCCTCTCTCAGTCTCCTCCTCTTTCTGTCTGAGAAATACTTAAAATATATTTAAATAATCTCATTTGTTATTTCCCCACTATATTAAATATCTTTTGTTTTATTTAAGGAATCATTCTCTATCTTAAGACCACAAAGATGTTATTCTCTGTTTTCTTTTAAAAGCATCAGGATTTAGGTTTAAACTTTGGTTTTGCAATCCATTCAGAGTCAATTTGTTGTGTGACTAGTGATTTAATTTTCCCTAGTAAGCTAACAAAATTAAATTTATTTTGAAAATGTTGGGGAAAAAAGCATAAAATTCAATGGCTTTCAGTATATTCACCAAGTTGTACAATCATCACCCCTCAAAAAACACCATACATGTTAACCGTTACTCATCTTTTACCCCATCTATGTCCGTGGTCCTAGGTAACCAGTAATCTACTTTTTGTCTCTATAAATTTGCCTCTTAGGGATATTTCATATAATGAAATCATACATTAGTGCTCGTTTGTGAATGACTTTTTCAACAAAGTGCTTACTTTTGAAGGCTCATCCATGTTTCAATATGTATAAATACTTTATTCTTTATCGTAAAATAATATTCCATTGCATGCTTATGTCACGTTTTGTCTATAGATCAGCTGATGAACATTTGGATTGTTTCTACTTTCTGGCTATTATGAACAATGTTATGAAGAACATTTGTGTGCAGATGTTTTATGTATGTGCTTTTAGTCTCTTGGGTTCATTCCTATGAGTGGAATTGCTGGGTCTTACTGTAACTCTATGTTTAACTTGAGGAATTGCCAAGCTGTTTTCCAAAATGGATGCACTATTTTTACAATTCCACCAGGAATGTACAAGGCCACTTTCTTTATATCCTTGCCAATGCTTATTATTGTCTGTCTTTTTTACTTGGCCAATGTTTTTAAAGAGACAAAAGTAAAAGTTAAAACTATTAATATTTTCTTAACAACGTCTTGCAGAAATCTCAAGACTATACATTTCCTCGCCTACCCCAAATACTGCCTGATTACAAACAGAAAACAAAAAGCCAGAATAACTCCACTAGAAAATATAATAATTCTACTCTGCAGCCCAGAAAAGTGACAATAAAGCTATCTGCAATTACCAGGACAAACTGCTTAGAATGTTTACCTTTAAGCCAAACACCCTTTTTAACAAATTAAACCACAGCATTTAACTAAGCCAACCAAAATAAATCATGAAAATTACAGGACCCACCAGTATAAACATTTCCCAGAGTTGACTTAATGCTAAGTACTGCTCTATGAAACTTAACTACTACTCTAACTTTTAAAATTATTATATGTTATTTTTGAGACAGGGTCTCACTCTGTTGCCCAGGCTGGAGTGCAGTGACATGATCGCACCCCACTGCAGCCTTGACCTCCGAGGCTCAAGCAATCTCCTACCTTCGCCTCCTGAGTAGCTGGGACCACAGGTATGTGTTATCACATCCAGGTAATTTTTAAGTTTTTTTTTTAAAAGATGGGGTCTTGCTATGTTGTCCAGGCTTGTTCTAACTTTTAAAGACTCAGTATTACAAGCAGCAAATAAGACTTAAACACAGGCCTGGCACATGGCTCACACCTATAATCCCGGCATTTTGGGAGTCTGAGGTGGGAGGATCACTTGAGGCCAGGAGTTCGACACCAGCCTAGGCAACATAATGAAACCCTGTCTCTAGAAAAAAAAATTTTTTAATTAGCTGGACATGGTGGCATAAACTTGTAGTCCCAGCTACTTGGGAGGTTGCACTCCAGCCTAGGGGGTGACAGTATGAGACCCTATCGTTTAATAAAAAAAAAAAGAGACTTAAAGATTTAAACTTATCTCTGTTGAGAAACTTCTGTCTTATAATTCCTTTTAGTGACTACACTGAGTACCTTCAAAGACATATAATTTTATTATTAATAACAGCAGACAAGTATCTTCTATGTGCCTAACACTGTACTAGTTCATTTTAACAGGAGTTCATTGAACTCTCATAATTACTCTCTCTTAGGGTAGTTTTCTTTCTACTCCTACCTAAACTCCTCAAATTATACTTCTAGAAATAACTAAATAAGACAGTTTGATTGGCATCCTTATGATATTTTTCTATGCAAATAAAAATACAAAGATTTTAAGGCTATATATATTTATATACAAAAATAAATTTCAAAGATACATCTTCATCTGCGTATTATGATGGTATTATCTAAGTTTTACATATCAGGAAATTTAATTAGTTTGCCAAAAGATATATAGCCAGTAAGGAGCACAGCCAAGATTTGAACTTCATTTTCAGAGTAATGAATAGGTAACCTATAGCTGGCTGATAATGGTGGCAACCAAAAAGATATGTCCACATTGTAAGCTCCAGAATCTGTGAATGTTACTTTATTTGGGAAAAGAGCCTTGGTAGGTGTAACTCAGTTAAGGATCTTCAGACAAGATCATCCTGGATTATCCAAATGGATCCTAAAGCCAAAGACAAGTCTCTTCATAAGAGATGCATAAGGGAAGACAGATACAGATGAGAAGGCAATGTGAAGACAGAGGCAGAGACTGGAGTAATGTGTTCATAAGGCAAGGAAGTCAGCAAGAAAAAGGTTAGAGAAAGCAAGGAGCAGATTCCCCCCAGAGCCTCTGTAGGGAGTGCAGACACGCCAACATCTTGCTTTCAGACTTCTGGCATTCAGAACTGAGAATAAATTTGTTTGCTTAAGCCGCTCACTGTGTGATAACCTGCAACTTCAGAAAACTCATACAATACCTAAAACCAATAAGTTCTCACAGATATTTATATATGTGAAATATTTAAATAAAATGCAATTATCAAAGATTTGATACTGTACCTCAAACTACATATAATGTTTTAAAAATATATACTTAGCACCCAAATCGTCCCATTTTGACCTAGTGGGAGCTCCTTCAAGTTGTAAACTGTCTTGGGAACATGGCTCCACCCATATGTGACAGCTTTTTTACAACCTGTCACAGAAAGTTGTCCCAGGCAAATCTTACATAACTTTTGGCCCAGACCTGGATCAACTACTTCTCCAACAAGCTCTGACATCTTTAAATTGGAAATGATATTAAATGGAAATTAAATTTAAATTGGAAATGGTATTAAAAGACTACAGTGTGCACACCACACTAGGAGTGCTCACTGTCAATAGGTTACCACTAGTTCTAGAACTTTTCAGTGGCTAGAACAAGAAAAGAAGTCATCATTTAGAAAGAGAAAATGAAATTCATGCTTGGATACCAAATTTGAATTGAAGATCACAGAGCTGTCACTTTTTTCTGATTTTTTTTTTTTTTTTTTTTTTTGAGATGGAGTCTCCTCCTGTTGCTCAGGCTGGAGTGCAGTGGTGCGATCTTGGCTCACTGCAACCTCTGCCTCCACTTGATTGGGTTCAATCAATTCTCCTGTCTCAGCCTCCCGAGTATCTGGGATTACAGGCGCCCACCACCATGCCTACCTAATTTTTTGTATTTTTAGTAGAGACGAGGTTTTGCCATGTTGGCCAGGCTGGTCTTGAACTCCAGATCTCAAGTAATCCACCTGCTTCAGCCTCCCAAAGTGCTGGGATTACAGACATGAGCCACCATGCCCAGCCTGATTTTGTATTTTTATCCCGTTTCTTCCCGCCTAACATTTCTGGTTCCTAATAATATTACTATAATTATTGATTTGCTTAGTACTATATAGTTTCAAAGAAACCATACCAATATAATTATTGAAATTAAGACTACTGAATGCAGTTTAAGATTTGTCTCCTTCAACATCTGTAAAAAGGGGGGAAAAGGGTTTATGTCTTGTCTCCCATACCTAAGCTACATCTCACAATAACTTGTCTACGTCATTATGCCACAAATTTGACATACTTGTTTGCTTTCTTATTTCTAGGAAGTACATTAAAAATTTTAAATTATGTAACGTTACAAAACATATTACTTTCATATAAGTCTAGCTCTCTTCCTTAACTATATTACTCTATAGAAAATCATTTTAATAGGTTCTTGTTTGTCCTTTCATTTTTATTCATATTTTTCATTTTGTGAAAATACAACAGTATATATGTTTTAATACTTTTTTTTTCCTTTTTAAGACAGTTTTGTTCTTGTTGCCAAGGCTGGAGTGCAATGGCACGATCTTGGCTTGCTGCAACCTCTGCCTCCCAGGTTCAAGCAATTCTCCTGCCTCAGCCTCCTGAGTAGCTGGGATTACAGGTGCCCACCACCATGCCCAGCTAATTGTATTTTTAGTAGAGATGGGGTTTCACCATGTTGGCCATCCTGATCTCAGGTGATTTGCCCACACTGGCCTTCCAAACTGCTGGGATTACAGGCATGAGCCAACATGCCTGGCCCATTTTAATAATTTTACTTATTTCTTTAAACAAAAGATCATATACCACCAACTGTCTAGCACTTTGATTTTTTTTTTTTTTTTAAGACAAGGTCTTACTCTGTTGCCCAGGCGGGAGCCACTTTGATTTAAGTGAAAAAACTCAATGCATCCTGGAGGATATCCTAGAACAGAACATGGAACTCTTCTGCATTCCTTTTAATAGTTGCATAGAATTCCATTGTGTATATCGATCGTGATTTCTTCCACCAGATTTTGTTGATGGGTATTTTTTTGGGTTGTTTCTGGTCTTTTGTTCTCATGACTACATCTTAACCAGTGGTTCTAAGATGTGGTACCCAGAACAACATCATTACTACCTAAAAATCTATTAGAAATGAAAATTATTGGGTGGAAGCCCAGATCTACTGAATCAGATACTCTGAAGTGAGGCCCAGGAATCTGCACCATACGTCCTGTAGGTGATTCTGACGCAAGCTCGAGTCTGAGAATCATTGTTCTTAATCTCTGCCATTTTGTATTTTTGACAGCTTATCTCTGAGGTTAATTCTTAGAAGTGAGTTTGCCAGACTAAAAGATAAACATGTACACTTCAAGAAGCATCAGAGAAAAAAAATTCTTTATTTTCAGGTTTTAAAAGAAATTCACCCATGTTTGGCCGGGCGTGGTGGCTCATGCCTGTAGTCCCAGCACTTTGGGAGGCCGAGGTGGGCGGATCACGAGGTCAGGAGATCGAGACCATCCTAGCTAACACGGTGAAACCCCGTCTCTACTAAAAATACAAAATAGCCTGAGGTGGTGGCGGACGCCTGTAGTCCCAGCTACTTGGGAAGCTGAGGCAGGAGAATGGTGTGAACCCAGAAGGAGGAGCTTACAGTGAGCCGAGATCATGCCACTGCACTCCATCTCCAAAAAAAAAAAAAAAAAGAAAAGAAATTAATTCACCCATGTTTTCCTGTAGTACTTGGTTTCATATTTTACATTTATTATAACTTTAATTTCTTTGGAATTTGTCCTGGAGTGTGAGAAATGAATGCAATTTTATCTTTTTGGGTATTGAGTTGTTTCAACATTTTGCACATATCTTAAAAAAGTAATGCTTGGCCAGGCACGGTGGCTCACGCCTGTAATCCCAACACTTTGGGAGGTCGCAGGAGGAGAATCGTTTGAACCCGAGAGGCAGAGGTTGCAGTGAGCCGTGATGGTGCTACTGCACTCCAGCCTGGGCAACGAGAGCAAAACTGTCTCAAAAAGAAAAGAAAAGAAAAAAAACAGTGATGCTCAGAATTTTTTTGTTGTTGATGTTGTTACCGCAAATATATTCTTTTTCATTATTATTTATGTACATGGTGGCTGATTATTACATATTAATTTTATTTACATCTATTTATTTACAATCTCAAATTCTTTTTTTTTTTTTTTTAAGACACAGGGTCTCACTCTGTCACCCAGCCTTGAATTCCTGGGCTCAAGGTATCCCCCTGTCTCCTAAGTAGCTGGGACTACAGGTACACACCTGGCTTTTTTTTTTTTTTTTGAGACAGAGTCATTGCTCTGTTGCCTAGGCTGGAGTGCAGTGGCACTATCTCGGCTCACGCAGCCTCCGCCTCCTGGGTTCAAGCGATTCTTCTGCTTCAGCCTCCCGAGCAGCTGGGACTACAGGCGCGTGCCACCATGCCCAGCTATTTATTTTTAGTAGAGACGGGGTTTTGCCATATCGGCCAGGCTGTTCTTGAACTCCTGACCTCGTGATCTGCCCTCTTTGGCCTCCCAAAGTGCTAGGATAACAGGCGTGAGCCACCGCCCGGGCTTTTTTCTTTTTTTTTTTTTTTTTTTGTAGAGACAGAGTCTCGCTATGTTTGTCCAGGTTGGTCTCAAACTCCTGGCCTCAAGTGATCCTCCTGCCCTACCCTCCCGAAGTGCTGGGACTACAAGCATGGGCCAACAGTTCTTTTTAATCAATATTTATCTCCACTGATTCTTTTGTGTTTGTCAGACGCAAAATCGTATCATCTGAAAAAACAAAGTAGTTTTACCTAATCCTTTCTGATTCTTGTCGCCGGTTACTCAAACTGCTTTCTCTTGCTTACCTGTGTTGATATAAACAACTCTAGGCCAGGCGCGGTGGCTCATGCCTGTAATCCCAGCACTTTGGGAGGCTGAGATGGGTGGATCATCTGAGGTCAGGAGTTTCAGACCAGCCAGGCCAACATGGTGAAGCCCCATCTCTACTAAAAATATAGAAAATTAGCCGGGCGTGGTGACATGCGCCTGTAATCCCAACTACTCAGGAAGCTGAGGCAGGAGAATTGCTTGAACCCAGGAGATGGAGGTTGCAGTGAGCCGAGACAGTGCCACTGCTCTCTAGCCTGGGCAACAGAGGAAGACTCCATCTCAGAAAAAACAAAACAAAACAAAACACCTCTAACATAATGTTAAATAAGAATGGAGATAGTGGACATCTTGTTCTTGACTCATTCTGGCTAAAGGATAAGCCACTAGTGTTCCCCCTTAAGACACTGGTTTCTCAACTCAGTTATAACGTTAAAGAGAAATCCACCAATTCTCAATTTTATTGAGCATAAAATTTATTCAAAGACCTTTTCAGCAAGCATAGAAGTTATGTTTTTTATTCTAGCTCTGTAACAGTGTTTAAAACATTAAGATTATTATCTTTAAACATATGGTTGCATTCTGGCTGGGCATGGTGGCTCACGCCTGTAACCCCAGCACTTTGGGAAGCCAAGGTGGGCGGATCACTTGAGGTCAGGAGCTTGAGACCAACCTGGCCAACATGGTGAAACCCCATATCTACTAAAAATACAAAAAATTAGCCGGGCATGGTGGTGCACACCTGTAATCCCAGCCACTCGGCAGGCTGAGGCAGGAGAATCGCTTGAATCCAGGAGGCGGAGGCTGCAGTGAGCCAAGATCGTACCACTGCACTCCAGCCTGGGGGACAGAATGAGACTCTGTCTCAAAATAAATAAATAAATAAAAATTAAAAAATAAAAATATGATTGAATTTCTCTGAACATGTGGGTACAGTGTTCTTTTGAAGGGGAGTTCTAACACAGGTCTACTTCTATGAAACTCTATTTATACTTTCTATCTCTACTGGGTTCAATTTTTGTGTACTGTATTTTCCTAGAAAAGTATCCCATTTCATCTACAAAGTACTGTGAAAAAGTCTGATGGTTTTTTAATTGTTTTGAAATTTCAACCTGAATTTATATACTCATGGTTTTTTCCTTTAAAAAAAAAAAAGGAGGTTAACAAAGTTTGTCTATTATATTGATTCATTTAAAAACCAACCTTTTCTACCATTTTTCTCTTCTAATTTAGTAATTTCCACCATTTTTTTTATTATAAATTATTTTCTTCAGCTATCTATTAGTTTACTTTATTATTCTTTTTTTTCTAATTTTTAGAGTAGTTTGCTTCTTTTAGTTTGTCCTTATTGACAGGAGGTATTCAGTATTATAAACTGCCTTCCAGACTGGACACAGTGGCTCACACCTGTAATCCCAGTACTTTGGGAGGCCAAAGCGGGTGGGATCACTTGAGTTCGAGACCAGCCTGGGCAACGTGGCAAAATCTTGTCTATGTAAAAAAAAAATACATGGCCGGGTGCGGTGGCTCACGACTGTAATGCCAGCACTTTGTGGGGCTGAGGTGGGAGGATCACGAGGTCAAGAGTTCAAGACCAGCCTGGCCAACATGGTGAAACCCCGACTCTACTACAAATACAAAAATTAGTCGGGCGTGGTGGCACATGCCTGTAATCCCAGCTACTTGGGAGGCTGAGGCAGGAAAATTGCTTGAAATCGGAAGGCGGAGGTTGCAGTGAGCTGAGATCACACCACTGCACTCCAGCCTGGGCGAAAGAGTGAAACTCCATCTCTAAATAAATAAATAAATAAATAAATAAATAAATAAATAAATAAATATAAAGTTAGCCAGGTGCGGTGGCGTGCTGTAGTCCCAGCTACTTGGGGGGCTGAGGCAGGAGGATGACCTGAGCCTAAGAAGTTGAGACTGCACTTGAGTTGTGATCACGCCACTGCCTCCAGCCTGGGTGACAGAGTAAGACCCTGTCTCCCAACTAAAAAAAGAAATTAAGAAAGTAGGTGGCACCAAACCCTTGTATATGTAAGCCTCCTTCAGCTTTGGCTGCAAGTCTCACTTAAGGAAGATAATTAAAATGTTAACAGAAAGATTATGGCAGCAGAGATGATGACTATACAATATTTTAAAAGATTTCATGGGAATATAACATACTGAATACATTGTATAATGAAGAATGAACTTTACTCCCTATGTTAATTCCCCAGACCTGTCATTTTAAAAAGTACATAACCTAGGTGGTATAAAACAAGACACTTATTCCTTCACAGTTCTGGAGGCTGAAAATCCAAAACTGATGTGTCAGCAAGGATGGTTCCTTCTGTGAGATAAGCTATTCCGTCCCTTTCTCTTAGTTTCTGGTAACATCCAGCAATCTTTGGCATTCCTTGGGTTATAGCAGCATCACTTCAACCTCGTCTCCATCGTCACACGGCACTCTCTTCATGTCTCCATGTCTTCATATGACCCATCTTATAAAGACACTAGTCTTAGTGGACTAATGACCCACCCTACTACAGTATGACTTCATCTTAACTAATTAACTCTACAACAGCTCTGTTTCCCAATAAGCACACATTCTGGTGTACCAGAGGTTATGATTTCAATATATCTTTTTGAAGGGGACACAATTTGAAGCATAACACTTGTTTTTATTTAGCCTATTTTCCAGAGCTATACAGATGGTGTGAACTTAACACTGTCATTCATTGAATATAAGCTATTATAGTGCTGCCCAGGCTAATAGAATTTTTCCCCAAGTCAAGGAATTATAAGTATTCTCATTTATTCTAACTCATATTCCCATTCATGTAGGTGAATTATAGACTTGTGATCTGTATGTTTTACCATATTTATGATGAATTTAATTAAAAGTAAAATATCCCTAAAAAGGAACATTTCAGCCCAGGTTTCTATCAGGAAATTCTCCCAAACTTATTTATTTATTTGTTTGTTTGTTTATTTTTTGAGACAGAGTCTCGCTCTGTCTCCCTGGCTGGAGGACAGTGGCACAATCTCAGCTCACTGCAACCTGCGCCTCCCAGCTTCAAGTGATTCTCGTGCCTTGCCTCTGGAGTAGCTGGGATTACAGGCACCCGCCTCCATGTCAGGCCGATTTCTTTATTTTTAGTAGAGATGGGGTTTCACCATGGTGGCCAGGCTGGTCTCAAACTCCTGACCTCAAGTGATTGGCCCACCTCCATTTCCCAAAGTGCTGGGATTACAGGAGTGAGTCACTGTGCCCACCCCCCAAACCTTTTAAGGAAGAAAAACAATCTTTATTTTTTCTGAGACAGAGTCTCATTCCGTCCCCTGGCTGGAGTGCAATGATGCAATCTTGGCTCACTGCAACCTCCACCTCCCAGGTTCAAGCAATTCTCCTGCCTCAGCCTCCCAAGTAGCTGGGATTACAGGTGCCCACCACCACGCCTGGCTCACTTTTGTAATTTTAGTAGAGATGGGACTTCACCATGTTGGCCAGGCTGAGTCTCAAATTCATAACCTTAGGTGATCCACCCACCTCAGCCTCCCAAAGTGCTGGGATTATAGGTGTCAGCCACTGCACCTGGCCTACAAAAACAACAATCTTATACAAATTATTTCAGAGAACCAAAAACCAATTACCAACTTTTTTATGATACCAAATTTTAACAGGGACATTATATGGGGAAAACATGCAGGCAAACCTTAGAGTTAAACGCAAACTATGAGCAAATAAAATCTATGATACAGATGATTAATAATATATCACAACCAAGTTGGTTTATCCAAGGAACACAAGGTTGGTTTAACATTTAATACGTAAAATCAATATAATTCACTACAGGAATTATGTACATGAAGGAAAAGCAACTGATAAAATTCAACATCTGTGTATTAGAAAATCTCTTAGCAAATTACAAATAAAAGGAAACTAACTTCATCTACTAAAAAGTATCTACAAACAACCTACTACTCCACATCATTCTTTTTTTTTTTTTTTTGAGATGGAGTCTTGCTCTGTCACCAGGCTGGAGTGCAGTAGTGCAATTTTGGCTCACTGGAACCTCCGCCTCCCAGGTTCAAGTGATTCTCCTGCCTCAGCCTCCCAGGTAGCTGGGACTACAGGCGCATGCCACCACGCCCGGCTAATTTTTGTATTTTTAGTAGAGATGTGGTTTCACCGTGTTAGCCAGGATGGTCTCGATCTCCTGACCTTGTGATACGCCTGTCTTGGCCTCCTGAAGTGCTGGGAATACAGGCGTGAGCCACCACGCCCGGCCCACATCATTCTTAAAACATTATAATATTAAAAGGCTGGGTATTGGTGGCTCACGCCTGTAATCCCAGCACTTTGAGAGGCTAAGGCAGGTGGATCACTTGAGGCCAGGAGTTTGAGACCAGCCTGACCAAAATGGTGAAACCCTATCTCTACTAAAAATACAAAAATGAGCTGGGTGTGGTGGCACACACCTGTAATCGCAGCTACTCAGGAGGCCAAGGCATGAGAATTTGCTTGAACCCTGGAGGTGGAGGTTGCAGTGAGCCGAGATCACACCACTGCACTCCAGCCTAGGTGACAGAGAGAGACCCTGTCTCAAAAACAAACAAACAAAAATTATAATATTAAAAGCTTTACCTTAAAGGTAGAGAATGAAAAGGATAATTGATAGTACCATGTCTGTTCCACTATTTTCTGTAAGTCCTGGCTGGTACAAAATGGCAAAAAAAAAAAAGAAAAAGAAAATTGCCATTATTCATAAATTACATATTTGTATAAGTAGACAATCATAAAACTATGTATAAACTAATATATTTTAAAAATTAATTTTGCAATGTTGTTACATCCAGTGTCAATATTCAGAGAGGAAATCCACCACAGGCCCCGAGTGCTGTTGTGTATACACACGAGGAATGCAAACAATGTTTTAAGTCCCAGAACACTCTTTACCTGAGCCATCTTTCAGGGTTATGTTTGCAGTTGCAGAGCAACCATGAGATGAGGCAATGTCTCTTCCCAGGCAAAATATGCTTGCTTCTGCTAAAAGCAGTGAATCCCTCAAACTAATGTTTCTTGGCTGAGATGCAAACCCACTGCAGGAATAGGATACACCTGGGCCTGTATCTCATCACCTGTGAGTCTTGGGGTAAGGGAAAGCTGACACGAAAAGTATGCTGGTAGCCATATTGCTTACTCTATCATGGGTAATACAGTACTTTTTCTATGACCCAGGATTCTTGTTTCTTCTGTTAAAATCCATGAGAGGCTAATCGCTTTGTTTACTTACAAATCAGGTAAAATCCTAGACACTTCAAAGACACAGTCAATTTATAAAAACTGTATTTCTATATATCAGCAACACACAATTATAAAGTAAAAAAAGTTAAAGCCATTCACAACAGAATAAAAAATGTCAAGGAATAAATCTGATAAGAAGTGTGCAAAGACCTGTAAGACAGAAAAATCCATAGCATTAATGAACAAAACTGAACTGCAGAAAATGCAGTAATATAGTTTTTAAAAAGTCAATAGAACTAAAACTGATCTATAGATTCAATGCAATCCTAACCAAAATCATAGCAGGTTGAGGGGAGAGGGGACATGTGGAAACTAACAAGCTGCTTCTAAAATTTACATGAAGATGAGATCAGTCAGAAAAGCCAAGAAAATATTAAAGAACAAAATGGAAAGAATTAAACTATTAGATATCAGGATTAATAATAAAGCTAAAGTAATTAAAACAGGGTGGTACTGTTACAAGGAAAGACAAAACACAACAGAACAAAGCAAAGTCCAGAAACCAAACCATAACTATATGGTCAATTGACTTATGACAGAGAACACTGCAATAAAGTAAATGAAAGAAGTCTTCAAAAAAGGGTGCTAGGTAATTAAGATATCCCTACGGGGTGAAAGGAATAAAATGATGATCCTCATCTCACATAATACAAAAAAATTCCACATGGTTTATAGATCTAAATGTAAAAGATAAAAGAATAAAGTTATCATTAAAATGTGCACACGCACATGCATATACAGGAAGACAGTTTCCTCTCTGTGTGTATATAGTATTTTCATTGCATAAACATCCACCAGTACCCAAATTCATTTATCCTATCTTTGATGAACATTTAGGTTATTTTTATTTTTTGCCTATTACAATTAATTCTACTTTTTAAAAAAATTTCTTTTTGTACTCCTTTCTGTTGGGTATATACACCAGAGTAGAATTAGCTATACTATGGACAGACAAGCAGTTTTCCAAAGTAGTTGTACTAGTTGTACTAGTTTAAATTCTTACCACCAGTGTATAAGAATCCCGTTATTTCACATGATCACTAGCAGTTGGTACCATCAGTCTTTTTAATTTTGGACTTTGGTGGGTGTGTAATAGTATCGCATGTGGTTATAAGTTGCCTTTCTGTGGTCACTAACGGAATTGGACTCCTTTTCATTATTAATCATTTTGATATCTTCTTTGTGCAATGCTTGTTCTAGTCTTTGCCCATTTTTCTATGAATTCTCTTTTTCTTACTAACTTGTAGGAGTTCCTCATATATTCCTTTGTTGCATATATTTATTCCAAATAACTTCTCTGTGGCTTGCCTTTTCACTCTCTTAAAGTTACGTTTTGATGAATGCAACTTCTTAATGTACCCAGTATGTTTTTTTCTTTAGAAAATTACCTAGCTTTATGATTAATCCTGATATTTAATAGTTTAATTCTTTCCATTTTGTTCTTTAATATTTTCTTGGCTTTTCTGATTGATCTCATCTTCATGTAAATTTTAGAAGCAGCTTGTCAGTTTCCACATGTCCCCTCTCCCATCAACCTACTATGATTTTGGTTAGGATTCCATTGAATCTATAGATCCATTTTAGTTCTACTGACTTTTTAAAAAATATATTACTGCATTTTCTGCAGTTCAATTTTTTTTATTAATGCTATGGGTTTTTCTGAGCTCCCTTCTGGTCATACCCATTGCCCCAAAATAACCACTCTATATAGTTTTAAGAATCTGATGTATTTCTACACACCAGAAGGTGAATGATTCTTACACACATGCAAATAATGTAATAGCAAAAAATTATTTAAGTATGACTTGATTATGTAAGTTTAAAAATTTCTCTGGACATTATTCTGTTCTAGACATGTCTTGTTTATGCTATTGGAAGTTGTTAGAGTGGTTATTTTGGAGCAATGGGTGTGACCAGAAGAGAGCTCAGGGAGAGATACTAGGGCAATATTTTGCTCCTTAATCTGGTTGATAGTTCATAGTACTGTTCTGTTTGTGAAAATCCAACAAGCTGTATACTTACGTGTACTTTAATGAATACAAGCTGATCATTCCAAATCAGAAAACATGAAATGCCCAAAATCAGAAAATTTTTGAGTGCCAACACGATGCTCAAAGGAAATGTTCATTGGAGCATTCTGGATTTTGAACTTTCTGAATTTGGGATGCCCAACCCAAATAATGCAAATGTTTCAAAATCTGAAAAAATCCAAACTCCAAAACACTTCTGGTTCCAAGCATTTCAGAGAAATAGTACTTCATCCATATATATTATAATCTAATTTAAAATTTTAAAAATAGGCAAGTGACCCAAACTGACAGAAATCAGGACGGTGGTTACTTTTGAGAAAGGACCAGTAGCGATTTGGAGATGACAGGATGTTTTCACAATGCTGATGAAGCATCGTAATAGTTAATTATTTACTAGGGAGATGGGGGTTATTTTCTGTTCTGAATTTTTTAAAAAAGGGACAAGATCATTTCATATAGTTTCTCCTTTAAAGATAAAATTTGGCACCCTCTCCCCCTTTTTTAAAGTAAAGCTGAAAAATCATCTAAACTATTGCTGTTCAAATGTCCACAGACTGGTCTGTGACAAGATAAGCATGAAAGCAAGAACATTTAGGTACTTTCATAGAAATTTGACATTGCTGGGTCATTCTGAGTCCACAATGGACTAGAGGAAAAAAATTGGTCCTTGATGATGAATAATTTGAGAATAAACTAGCTAACTGAGGTGGTGGTGATATGAGTCGCAGTTGCGGGGTGGGGGTGGGGGGGGTGTGAGAAGCGCATGAGCAAGGTTTCCTAGGACTACATCTTAAAAAAAAAAACAAAAACAGAACTATTAAAAATAAGACCTTGGTTAAAAAAAAACATAAAAAAAGGAAAAAAATTAAAGCTTTATTTTAACTATATCAAGACCCTGTTTATAGTCTTTTCTCACAAAGTGGTACTTATAGAAAAATAATCCCTTATACTTCTCTATTACCAGTTTTACTTCAAATGAAACCAATTAATGTCACCAATTAACGTCATCCTACACCAAGGAAGTATTCTACCTACAACAAATGGTTTTCAAAAGCAAAACAAAAATAAATTTTAGCTTATATACCAGTGATGAGAAACAGAGCTAACTTAAACACTAGTGAGCAGAAAAACAAAAGACGCTAGTTTATTAACTCAGAAACTTAATGAACAAAAATATGAAACAAACAAAAAAAGAGTCAATAAACAGTTTTTTGTCTTTTTTTTTTTTTTTTTTTTTGAGACAGGGTCTCTCTCTGTCACTCAGGCTGGAATACAGTGGCATCATCATAGCTCACTGTGGTCTCAAACTTCTAGGCTTAAGTGATCCTCCCACCTTGGCCTCCCAAAGTGCTGGGACTACGGGTGTGCACCACCAAAACCAGCTGTTTTTTATTTAGAGACAAGGTCTCACCATGTTGCCCAAGGTGGTCTTGAACTACGGGGCTCAAGTCATACTCCTGCCTCGGCCTCCCAAAGTAATGGGATTACAGGTGTGAGCCACCACACCCAGCCTATAAACAGTCTTGATCTTCCTGGTGTCTGGCTATGAAAATTTGGAAGAGTCATCAGTGTCTCCATTCTCTCTCTTATCTATACCTTAATTTTCCTAAGAAACTTTGTGAGGCCGGGCGTGGAGGCCTACACCTGTAATCCCAGCCCTTTGGGAGCCCGAGGCAAGCAGATCACAAGGTCAGGAGTTCGAGACCAGTCTGGCCAACATGGCAAAACCCCGTCTCTACTAAAAATATAAAAATTAGCCAGGTGTGGTGGCGGGCGCCTATAATCCCAGCTACTCAGGAGGCTGAGGCAGGAGAATAGCTTGAACCCACGATGGGGAGGTTGCAGTGAGCCGAGATCATGCCATTGCACTCCAGCCTGGGCGACAAGAGCAAGACTCCGTCTCAAAAAAAAAAAAAAAGGAACTTTGTACAACAAATATCTTGTAAATAATAAGACTATCACTAAAGGTTAACCATATGATCCAAATTTCTTTCCCTCCACAAATCCCCTCTCCCAGCCACATTTATCTTCTTACGGCTTCCTGAAAACACTATATACATTCTCATCTTCTTGCCTTTATATATGTTTTCTTTCCATAACACATCCTGTCTTCCCTAGTGATTAAACTCTCCAGAGAAGAATAGTATCTTAGAACTTTTATAGCTAATACTTAGTAACCCAGGCAAAGTTAACTTAGTATCCCTTCTCTAATGCTGTCATAACATGATAAATATAAACACATGTGATTTATGAAGTCATGTGCTAATTATCTACTTATTTTTCTATCCCTCTAGATATGCTGAGACAACTTTAAGGGTGGGGTTGACACCTCATTCAAATTTGTTTCCCAAATACCTGGCAAATAATACAGACTGGAGAAGGCATGAGTGTAACAAGTAGTTTCTTTGCTTGTTTATTCATTCATTTCTTGAGACAGGGTCTCGCTCTGTCACCTAGGCTGGAATGCAGTGGTCCCATTATAGAACACTGTAGCCTTGAACTCCCGGGCTCAAGCAATCCTCCTGCCTCAGTCTACCAAGTAGCTGGGACTACAGGCACACACCACCACATTCGGCTAATTTTACTTTTTATTTTTTGTAGAGACAGGAGTCTCACTATATTGCCCAGGCTGGCCTCAAACTCCTGGGCTCAAGTGATCCTCCCACCTTGGCCTCCCAAAGTGCTGGGATTATAGGTGTGAGCCACCACAGCCTGCCTAACAAGTAGTTTAAACGGAGATATTACTTTGGTTGTTATCAATAAACTAATGGCTTAAACAACACTTTTTAGGATTATAACTTTATCCTCCAATGTGGACTGCTCAACAGATTAAAACAATTCTTAACAACACATTTTTTTGTCTAATTAGAAACAAAAATGCTTGCTTCTACATAAACATATAGAAATAAAAGATTAACAAATTCTGATCAAAAGATCGAGTTACTATTATTTGATTAAAAACAAAAAAACAAAAATCATTACATAAAAGAAACCCAAAGAGTAATCTAGTAAATAATTTTTTTCTTTTTTTTTCTTGAAACAGTGTCTCACTTTGTCGCCCAGGCTAGAGTGGAGTGGCGTGATCTTGGCTCACTGCAGCCTCCGAGGCCTCCTGGGTTCAAGTGATTCTCTTGCCTCAGCCTCCCGAGTAGCTGGGATTACAGGTGTGCGCCACCACACCCAGCTAATTTTTGTATTTTTAGTAGAGAAGGGGTTTCACCATGTTGACCAGGCTGGTCTTGAACTCCTTAACTCACGTGATCTGCCCTCCTCGGCTTCCCAAAGTACTGGGATTACAGGCGTGAGCCACCGCACTCGGCTGATAAATTTTTTTTTTTAAAGCTTAATATTAAGTGTTTTCAGAAAAACATTTAAAACAAATTTTAGGCCGGGCGTGGCGGCTCACACCTGTAATCCCAGCACTTTGGGAAGCTGAGGCGGGCAGATCACTTGAGGCCAGGAGTTTGAGACCAGCCTGCCCAACATGGAGAAATTCTGGCTCTACTGGTATGGTGGTGCACGCCTGTAGTCCCAGCTACTGGGGAGGCTGTGGCAGGAGAATCGCTTGAACCCGGGAGGCGAGGTTGCAGTGATCTGAGATCATGCCACTGCACTCCAGCCTGGGTGACAGAGCAAGTTTCTGTCTCAAAAAATAAATAAAATAAATATAACAAAACAAATTTTGGAACTTGAGGCTTATCAGTCAGTTTTACATAGTTCACTGCAGTAGCTTCTCGTTGCTGGATATTTACATACTGCTCACTGAGTTTAAGTCAAAAGGTACATACATACATTATTACAGCATTGAGAATTTTCCATTTCAATGGATGATTATAATGTCGAACAAGGTCAAAAAGATACAGACTATTAATAGTAGATGCATTTGAGTTAAAAGCTTAAGTAAATAATCTCTGACTTAAATTTTTATTTTCTCCCAAAGACATTTAATGGGCCCCTATGAAGTATTAGGGAGAGATCAGACACTGAAGGATTGGTAACAAAATTGAAACTTAAGAACTATATATAGTTGAAGAATTGATTGTTGAAGCACTGATAATAATCGAAGTTTCCGAAATGATTTTGATCTTTAGAAACAGTTATGTTTCTCTTGAGGGAGAGTTTTTATTCTAACAGGTCTTTCTTTAGAGGTAATGGATCCTTTTTAGTTCTAAGTCCCTTCCTCCAACACCAAGTGCAATCTACTCCAAACTAGGCAGGCGGTGTTTCCTGATTATATTCAGAGTCCCCTGGCCTAAATGGGAAAGGCCACACCTCAACACTTTCCTTGCTTCTGGGTAGTCTAACTATCCAAAGCCCTAACAGTGTAGCCATCTTTAACACAACACAGTGCTAAAACCTCCAATTCAGCCACCAATAATAACCTCAGAGGAAAAGAGAAAATCTCCTAAAGGTCTCTCTCCATCTAAGTTAACTTGCCAAAAAAAGTTTTGCCTCCAGTATACTTTTAAAAGGAGACATAATCATACCCATTCAGTAACTTAACACACATGTAAATGTTAGAAGGTAGATAGGTTTATGGTATTTTAAATAACTCCAGACACAATATATATCAAATTCCTGATTTAAAGTAGTTCTGAACAAGCAGTAAAATTAACATTAGTTCACACTAGAGGAAACAGTGATTCCTTACAGAGAAAAGGTATACTTTATGTAATTAATTTCATTCTTAAGACACTTTAAAAGCAGACCAAAATCTAAACAAAACTTTTTCTATCAGAAGATAAAAATAATAGTCCTACAGTTGCTTCATAATGCAATATTTTATTTTGGGGAAAAGGCAGAGACTTCACTTAGCTATGATCATAAAAAAGCAATATAAATAGTGATTTTCGTATTCATTTTTCTGAAGTTATTATTCCACCTTACCTTTATTTGGAATTCCATAAAACTCTTCTCTGAACATTGTGTATCCTGTCTGAAAACTAGCAACCAAAACTACAAACTTTTAAGTCTTCCACTTTACACAGAAATCAATAAACTAGTTTTAATATTGGACTGAATTTCAAAGTTCTATTCTCTGTTCCTATTTGGCTGAAAGGTATACATATATCAAGAAAGTTTCTATCGATTTTCAACTAGAAGTATCAGTTTTGCTGTCAGAGCTCTTTATTTTTGTACATAAAAGGAAGTGGGTTTTGATACTATCTCAGTGTTCTTCCTGTCTTACAATGCATTTGAAATAAAGTGATGTCAGATTGAGAGTAAAGGCCCGAAATAAGAAAAAGTAATAGGCACAATTAGCTTGCTTTACCTTTATTGATAACTAAGATTTAGAACTGCTTTGCTGTATACTCACTGCTGGCTACATGTCTGTCACTTTAATTTGCACTGGACTACAAAAACATCCACAAATATATAATATATACCTACAAATTATATGGTATCTATATCACATGTATGACCCATGAAAGACAGATGCATATTCTATGAGAGACTAAATCATTCTTCATAATTGGTAGCTTGGCATTCATTTCTTGAGAATATCAGAGCTGCTTAAACATGAATCACATGTGACATCATGCGCACCTCTCACCTCACCTTCTAGATACCACACACCGCCCATTTTCCTCTAGGCTTTATTATAGACTACCTGCAACCAGAAAAGAGCTTTATAGAGCATCTCATCTTACTGTAAACTGAGGACAAATAATCAATATTATAATAATTTCTAGAAAAGGAATAAATGAAAAGCAGCTCAAAAACAATTGGACCCAATATTCAATTTGATATTACCTTATTGTTCATGTCTTCTATTATTATGCAGAGTGTGGAGCAAGGTTATGTTATTCATATCTACCTATTCGGCTACTGACAATAGGGTTCTATGGTTAATTCTTGGATCTTCCTACATCTTAACACATTCACCTCAAATTCTTAGAGACAGCCATTAATAACCGTTAGTTATAAGCAAAAGAAACACAGATACAACAGCCACTATTCAAAGAGCAGCATATGTGGCTCTTGAAAAGCAAGGGCCCCAAGTATATTCCCATTTTACAAGACTTTCTTTAATATTGATTTCCCTGTCCCAATCCCATCCAGAAAACATGAATCTTGCTAATTGCTTCCCTTACTTGATGACCTGGCTTGGCTCCTAATCTTAGATCTACAATTCCAAACTTAAAAGGAAAAGCTTAAAATGAGGAGAATCAACACTTGTGAAAAGAAGCGAAAAAATTAAAATAAAAAAAAATAAAATGAGGAGAAGCAGGGGATAGAGACAGCCCTTTACACTTTTGGCTTCACTTTTTCAAAAATACGTGCTTAGTGGACCCCAGGGAATGGAGGGCCCTGGACTACACCTCTTTTCACTACTGACAGGGATTAATTTAAAACCACACATCAACAATTAACTAGTCAGAAGCACCCTCTTTGTCTTGCTTTCATTCCATTTATTCCTAACAATTGAGGTCTGGGTAGCTCTCTAAGTGGTTATCAACTTAAAGCTAAGATTCTCTGATTACAAAGTTCGCTCAAATTATGTATGTAGTAGCTATAGCAGAGAACAGATGAGGCCATCAATTATCTCAATTCTCTCCAGGAGTAGCAAAAACATTAACAGAGGGATGGTAGTGAATTATAACTATTTTTCTAATATAGGCATAGTAACCATTCTGAAGGGACTTAAATGAATGAGTCTAGTATTCCAACATAACCTGAGCTTCTAGCTCCAAAGACAACTCACCTATCATCACTCAAATCTAAAAGGATATTCAAGCTAGAAAAAATCTTGAATGTCTGTTTTGCTCTGGAACATGTCAGTCCTTGTAAAGGAATCATCAAGAGTTGGTTTAAAATTTGCCTTGCCATGTACAGCTAAATTATAAATATTGGGATAAACAAGATTTGCCCTCTTTGAATAGACTCTGACAAGAAGCTACAGAATAATTAGCAGTAATTAGGCAATAATTCATATCCTTAACTGGAAAATCCATTCCAGGGAAGCTGCAGCAACAGACATTATTCCCTAACGAAAGCTTTTCAGGTGAGTTATGAAGTAGACACCAAACGGAATAAGAGCAAAGACCAGCAGACTAAATTCAGTGTTTGCTAGTAGAAATGAAAAGCATTCTTTTCCTAAGGAGGGTTGTTAGAGCATTAAGTGCTCAAAGTTTAGGCAAGTAAAATAAAAGCATCCTAAAAGGCTATGGATGACTTAAGACCTTAAGAACAAATCCAGGTAAAACCTAGAATGTTGTCTGGTGTGGTAGCCACTATCCTCATGTGGCTATTTAAAGTTAAAATAAAATCAAAATTAAATTCCTAACTAGAACTCCACATGTCAAAAAGAAAAGAAATCCAGATACAGGTCTCACACGCTTCACAAAAAATTAACTCAAAATGGATCACAGACCTAAACAAAAATGAAAATTTCTAAAACTCCCAGAACATAACATAACATTGAAGAAAATCTAGGGGTTTTATGATGACTTTTAGATACAAGACCAAAGACACAGTTCACAAAAGAAAAAATGTGATACACTAGACTTCATTAAACATTTCTGATCTGAGAAAGAAACTGCCAAGAAAATACAAAGACAAGACAGGTGCGGCGGGCTGGATGGGCGCAGTGGCTCACACCTGTAATCCCAGCACTTTGGGAGGCCAAGGCGGGTGGATCACGAGGTCAGGAGTTCAAGACCAGCCTGGCCAACATGGTGAAACCCCACCTCTACTAAAAATACAAAAATTAGTTGGGTGTGGTGGCGGGCGCCTGTAATCCCAGCTACTCGGGAGGCCAAGGCAGGAGAATCCTTTGAACCCAGAAGGCGGAGGTTGCAGTGAGCCGAGATCGCTCCACTGTACTCCAGCCTGGGCAACAGTGTGAGACTATGTCTCAAAACAAAAAAAGACAAGACACAGAAAATATTTGCAAAAGACATATGATAAAGGATTGTTACTCAAAATATACAAAGAACTCTTAAAGCTCAACAATAAGAAAACACACAACCTGATTTTAAAATAAGTCAAAGAACTGATGAGACATCTCACGAAAGAAGATATGTAGATGGCAAACAAGTAAATGAAAAGGTGCTCCACAACATATGTCATTAGGGAAATGCAAATTAAAACAACGAGATACTACTACACACCTATCAGGCCAAAATCCACAACAATAACCACACTAAATGCTGACGAGGACATGAAGCAACAGGAACTCTCATCCACTGCTGGTGCAAATGCAAAATGCAAAATGATACAGTCACTTTGGTAGACTGGAAGTTTCTATAAAACCAAACATACTCTTAATCATATGATCCAGCAATCACACTCCTTAGCATTTACCCAAAGGTGCTGAAAACTTATGCACATACAAAATCTGCACATAGATGTTTAAAGCAGCTTTATTCATAATTGCCAAAACTTGGAAGCAACCAAGATGTCCTTCAGTAGGTGAATGTATAAACAAACTGTGGCACACCCAGACAATGGAAAGAAATGACCTATTGCAAATGAATACCAGAACAGAAAACCAAATACCGCATGTTCTCACTTATAAGTGGGAGCTAAATGATGAGAATACATGACACACAGAGGGGAACAACACACACTGGGGCCTTTCAGAGGGTGGTGTGGGGGAGGAGGGAGAGAATCAGGAAAAATAACTAGTGGGTACTAGGCTTAATTCCTGGGTGATGAAATCGTCTGCACAACAAACACCCATGGCACAAGTTTACTTACGGAACAAACCTGCACCTGTACCCCTGAACTTAAAAGTTCAAACAAAAAAGAAAGAAATGACTTATCAACCCATGAAGACACAGAGGAACCTTAAATGCATATTACTTAAGGAAAGCCAATCTGAAAAGGTTCCAACTATATGACATTTTGGAAAAGGTCAAACTATGGAAACATTAAAAAATCAATGGTTGTCAGGCCAGGCACAGTAGCTCACGCCTGTAATCCCAGCATTTTGGGAGGCCGAGGCAGGTAGATCACCTGAGGTCAGGGGTTCGAGACCAGCCTGACCAACATGGTGAAACCCCATCTCTACTAAAAATACAAAAATTAGCTGGGCTTGGTGGCAGGCACCTGTAATCCCAGCTACTTAGGAGGCTGAGTCAGGGTAATTGCTTGAACCCAGGAGGCAGAAGTTGCAATGAGCTGAGATCACGCCATTGCACTCCAGCCAGGGCCACAAGAGTGGAACTCCGTCTCAAAAAAAAGTCAGTGGTTGTCAGGGGTTAGGAGGCAGGAAGGGATGAAGAGCTGGAGCACAGAAGATTTGAGGGCAATGAAACTATTCTGTTTGATACTATAATGGTGAATACACATCGTTATACATTTGTTCAAAGCCATAGGATGTACTCTCCCAACAGTAAATTCTAACGTAAACCATGGACTCTGGGTGATGATGTGCCAATGTAGGTTCATCAGCTGTAACAAATATAGCACTCTGGTGGAGAATGTGGCTAGTGGGGAAGGCTGTGCATGTGGCGGGGGAGGGGTACATGGGAAATCTCTGTACCTTCCTCTCAATTTTATTGTGAACCTGAAACAGCTCTAAAAAAGAAAGCATTTTTATTTTTTAAATTCCTTGGTCATAATAACCATATTTCAAGTATTCAATAGGCCCATGTAGCTACTGGCTACTGTGTTGTGCTGGACAGTAAAGATATAAACATCTCCATCATTGCAGAAAACTCTCCTTGACAGGACTGTTATAGAGGGTAAGGGAAAGTGACTGACTGACCTGGAGTCTGGGAAAAGAGGAACTACTAACAAGGGCATTTGTCCTACAGCATTTAGTACTTTATTGAAGGATCAGGTGGATTTACCTTTCCTTTTCCACCTGCTCTTTTTTCCCTCCTTGTTGCTGCCACCATCACTGCTGCTGCTGCTGTTCTCAGAACTCTGGGAATCTGACTGACCATCACTGCTTTCTTCTGAACCTTCTGACAGCTCTTTCACCCCATCCGGCACATCTTTCTGAAAATGTAGGCATCCAATTAGGATTAATCATTACCATTTAAGCAAACAGAAATTAAAACTTCTGATATGCAATGTTGCAACTTAATTGCACTAATTTTTGTTACTATAGGATTCAGTAGCAGAACCAGCAATATTTTCTGAATTCCTGTCATCTCTTTGAGGCAAATAAGCTAATGTTTCCAACTATATCCGAAGATAAAAATTATATACAACATTCATATGCAGGCACAACACAGGCTTAAATTAGACAAAAATTGGGTAGATATGAGTCCAGGTAAATGATTAAATACTCTTACATTTTAAAAACTACATAATAATTTTATTGGCTGGGCGTGGTGGTTCACACCTGTAATGCTAACACTTTGGGTGGCTAAGGCAGTTAGAATGTTTGAGACCAGGAGTTCAAGACCAGCCTGGGCAACATGGTGAAACCCGTCTCTACAAAAAAAAAATGCAAAAAAAAAAAAAAAATTAGCTGGGCATGGTGGAACGAACACTCCTGTAGTCACAGCTACTTGGGAGGCCAAGGTGGGAGGACTAAGCCCAGGAGTTCAAGACCAACCTGGGCAACATGGTGAAACCCCACCTCTACAAAAAAAAATACAAAAATTAGCCAGGTATAGTGGTGTGCACCTGTGGTCCCAGCTACTTAGGAGGCTGAGTTGGGAGGATCACCTGAACCCAGGAAGTTTGAGGCTGCAGTGAGCTGTGATCGTACTACTGCACTCCAACATGGGTGACAGAGTGAGATCCTGTCTCAAAAAACTAAATAAAATAATTTCATTAAATATATGTATGTCCATGTGTGTATGTAAGTACCACTATGTACTCTGAATTCAATTACAGAGTAAGAGTCTAGACAGTAAGAGATAGTGCATTATTTGAATCTAATTGGTTCCTGAATATTGGTTAGTAAGTAGCAAGAATTAAATAAAAAAGAAATCTTTTTTTAAATGAAGGTTCTTCCTGACAGAAAAAAAGAAAAAGAAAGAAATCATTTAACAAATCATATGAAACTCTTTGGTTTCTGCACTGAGAGAGAATGCTAATCAGAAAGGATAACTACGTCAGCTTAGCATGTGAGAGATATAATAACAGGATAGTTCCAAGACCAAAGACTAGAAAACAAGACTTCCTGGCTTTACCCTCTCCTAATTGTGCAGTTAAAATCTTAACCTTTCATGCTTCAGTTTCCCCATCTATAAGGTGGGGATAATAGTACCTACCTTAAAAGATCATTCTTCAATTAGCTCAAGTTAAATGAGCTAATAAATGTAAAATGCTTAGAATCACGCCCAACATAAGAGGTCAAAAAATATCAGCTACTATGTGTTTACATAATATATAAAAATACACATGTATGGCTAAACACACTAGTGAGTGTTTGTGGTTTTTTGTTATTTTGGGAGACAGGGTCTCACTCTGTCACCCAGGCTGGAGTGCAGTAGTGCAATCACAGCTCACTGTAGCCTCGACCTCCCAGGCGCAAGCAATCTTCCCACCTCAGCCTCTGGAGCAGCTGGGACTACAGGTGTGTGCCACCATACCCGGCTAATTTTTTAAATTTTTTTATAAAGCTGGGGTCCTACTATGTTGCCCAGGCTGGTCCTGGATTTGAACTCCTGAGCTTAAGCAATCCTCTTGCCTTAGCCTCCCAAAGTGCTGGGATTACAGGCGTGTGCCACTGCGCCTAGCCTGTGAATGTTATTTCTAAGCTATAAAACTATCAGTGGTTCTTTTTACCTCCAATATTTTATTTTCCCACATCGTTTTAACAATCAGATAAAAAATAATTCTGACAGACACAAAAATGTGACCCTCCTACATAAAACTGACATCCGTATGACATTATAGCCAAGACTATAAACTCTGATCTAGTTAAGTTAGGTATTTTTCATTTAAATTTATGTCCTAGTGCCATTTCTCTCTGAGCCGTCTCTTATGTTATACACTTTCTTAAAATACACACCCTATATTTTTCTATTATTTCCTTCAAAATGCAGGACAGCTTTTATAGAGTTAGTTGTCAGCCAGACATCTTGTCATATAGGTTCAACAAGTATCTGAAATATAAATATAATTATCTTCTTTTCTTAAAATATGTGATCCGTACAGGATCAACTGCCTATGCCCCAAATTCTAGAATCATTTCAGCCCCTTTTACCCACTCCAAATGCTACATATTCTATTTATTCCTCTAATGTCCTTTGTCTCCATCTCTTTTACTAGTCTCTTAATTCAGGCCCTGAGTATTTCTTCCAAACAACCATAACCACCTTTCTGACAAATTTTCCTGCTTCACTCTTAAATCTATCCTACTTGAGTTATTCTCTTAAACTTGGATTTGATTATGCTTTTCTCCTGAAAAACCTGTGACATCTACCACCCAACAACCCATACACAAACTGCTCAGTCAGGTTTTCAAAGGCCTCCAATGTTTGATCTCTACCTAACGTTTACCACACTGGAATCTTTACCACTTAAGTCCACGCAAAGATTATGGTCTAATCACTCCAATTTACTCTACTTTCAAGTCCACTCTGAATCTTTCCAACTGTGCCCTTGCTTAAGCTATTCCTATGTCCTGGAAGGCCCTTCTTCTTACTACTTATCTGACAAAGTCCAGCTCAAATCTTACAAGTTAACAACAACAAAAAACGGCTACATTCCTTTATTCAAAATTAATTCTTATTTCTCTATATTATCACATTTTTTAAAAGCAAAGAACATTTTGAGAGCAGGCAATTATTTTAGGAACTATAATGTGAGCTTCAAGAGCTCAGGGGCCACAGCTTAACCCTCTTTACAGTCTCTATAGTGTCCAGCACAGAGGTAATATTGTGATATAGTATGAAATATATATTTGGTTCCTGACTACAGTTCCTGGCCTAGAGCTCTTTTTAGCTGTTATAATTTCCTAAGCAATAGTGTTACTAGTAGAATCTTTTGCTATTATTTGGTCCTTGATCCCAGCTTCCAACACAGAGCTCCTAAGACCTCTGCAATTTCCTGA
This sequence comes from Homo sapiens, assembly GCF_000001405.40. Taxonomy (NCBI): domain Eukaryota; kingdom Metazoa; phylum Chordata; class Mammalia; order Primates; family Hominidae; genus Homo; species Homo sapiens. The sequence continues at coordinate 25,802,552 of NC_000002.12, forward strand.
GTAAAAGGAGCATCTGACACAGCTCCTATGTCCCTTGGAATTTCCTGGGTGATAGGAGCATCTTTTCTTCCTCTTGGTGAGCTACTGCATAGTCTCAGGATGGGGGTTAGTTTCCAGGGGAACCAACTATGTGACTAGAGGGTTGGAACTTTCACTCACTCCCCAATCTCAGGGAGGGAGGAGACTGAAGGTGGAGCTGATCACCAACGGCCAATAATTTAATCAGTCATATGTGCTGAAGCTTTCATAAAAACCCAATGGATTGGGTTCTGAGAGCTTTGAGATTTAGCTGATCACGGCTGGGTGCGGTGGCTCATGCCTGCAATCCCAGCACTTTGGTAGGCCAAGGCAGGCAGATCACCTGAGGTCAGGGGTTCGAGACCAGCCTGGCCAACATGGTAAAACCCTGTCTCTACTAAAAATACAAAAAATTAGTTAGGCGAGGTGGCAAGCACCTATAATCCCAGCTACTCTGGAGGCTGAGGCAGGAGAACTGCTTGAACCCGGGAGGCGGAGGTTGCAGTGAGCTGAAATTGCACTGCTGCAATCCAGCCTGGGCGACAGAGCGAGACTCCATCTCAAAATGAATGAATGAATGAATGAATGAATGAATGAATGATTTAGCTGATCACATGGAGGTTCCTGGAGGGTGGCAAGCCTGGAGAGGGCACACAAGCTCTGTGTACCTTCCTACAAACCTCACACTAAGCATCTTATCCATCTGGCCATTCATCTGTATCTTTTGTAATATCCTTTATAATAAATGGGTAAATGTAAGTAAAGCATTTTCCTGAGTTCAGTGAGTCATTCTAGCAAATTAATCAAACCCAAGGAGGGAACCCCAATTATAACCAGACAGTCAGAAGTACAGGTCACAACCTGGGACTTGCGACAGTTGGCATCTGAAGGGGATGGGAGGGTACTGAGCCCTCAACCTGTGGAATCTGACACTGTCTCCAGATAGATAGATAGCATCAGAATGGAGTTGAATTACAGCAGTGGTCCCCAACCTTTCTGCATCAGGGACTGGTGCTGTGGAAGACAATTTTTTTCACTGAAGGGTCAGGGAGTGGGATGGTTTCAGATGAAACTGTTCCACCTCAGATCATCAGGCATTAGATTCTCATACAGAGTGCATGACCTAGATCCCTCAAATGTGCAGTTCACAATAGAGTACGCACTCCTACAAGAATCTCATGCTGCCACTGATCCGACAGGAGGCAGAACTCAGGCAGTCATGCTTGCTTGCCCACCAATCACCTCCAGCTGTGCAGCCGGGTTCCTAACGGGCCACAGACTGGAACTCTAATTGTTAAAGGACATCCAGCTGATGTCTGCTGGAGAATTGCTTGGTATGTGAGGAGAAACCTCCACACATCTGGTGTTAGAAGTATTGTACTTAACGGTGTATGAGAATAGGGAAAACACTTTGGTTTTTTTTTCCCCCCAATCTCTACAATAGAATAGGCATTTAATAAATTTTTTAAACAGTATGGAAGGTCTAGAACAGCTAAAACCAAAAAGAAATACAGAAAGTTCCATGTGAGAATAGAGCCCTGTAACCCCAGGAAATTCAACAAAGTATATAAAAAGGAGGCAGGTGGGTAGGTAGGTTAGATCTTTCTAATGTTAGGCTCTACACAACCATTGGGCACAGTGATGACTGCAGCTCAAAGCTAAAAGGTAACACATATATGCATGGACACAGTCACTGCCTACCAAGCATTCATTCCCCTTCAGCTGATAAATTTCCTTTGGGGAAAACTCTCTCCTCAATTCACCTGGCTTGAGCAAGCTTAATCTCAACCACATCTACAACTGGCCAATCATTTGACAAGTGTGATAATTCAGGTATACTCATGTGGGCGAAGCCAAACCAATTAAGCCAAATCAGAATAAAGTCAGAGGCTCCTGCTTTAGTTCTTATCTCTCTTCAGATTTACAGCTTGCAGAGTGCAGGTTGGGGCTGAAGTTATATATGATGAGGAGAAACTCTGACTGAGAGCGAAGTCAAAAGGAAGTGGAGACACCAAACCCTGATGATGTCAACTGAGTTCCTGGATCCAGCCTGGGTTTCCTTAGAATTTTCAGTTACATAAGCTAATAAATTGTCTTACTCAAACTCATTTGAGTTGGTTTTCCTGTTCGTAAGTGAAAAGTTATTGATAAGTAAAGGTCTCTTCTCAGTGCAGGAATTTGAAATTGGCAAGCTTGAAGGCCGGGCACGGTGGCTCACGCCTGTAATCCCAGCACTTTGGGAGGCCGAGGAGGGTGGATTACCTGAGGTCAGGAGTTTGAGACCAGCCTGGCCAATATGGTGAAACCCCATCTCTACTAAAAATACAAAAATTAGCTGGGCGTGGTGGTGGGCATCTGTAATCCCAGCTTCTTGAGAGGCTGAGACAGGAGAATCGCTTGAACCCAGGAAGCGGAGGTTGTAGCGAACCAAGACTGTGCCACTGCACTCCAGCCTGGGCAACAGAGCGAGACTGTCAAAAGAAAGAAAGAAAGAAAAGAAAGAAATTAGCAAGCTTGTTATGTTAGAAAGAATATGGGCTTGGGAATTCAGTCAGATCTGGGTTCCTATACCGGTTCTGATACTATATGGGCAACACTGGGCAAGAAAATCCAATCTTCTGAACTTTGACTTTCTCCATTATAAAAACGGAATAATAACCACAACTGTGAATTGTGGTAGAGAATAAAATGAGAATGTAATGTAAAGCATCTAGGCAGAATGCTCCAAAGAAACAATTATTATACAAATGTTGTGAGGCTTCTTAAACAATTATTATACAAATGTTGTGGGGCTCTCCATCATAAAAATGGAATATTTATCATTTTTACTAGAATTTCAGGTATATAATAGTCTATAGAAAAATATACATTTTCCTAATTGTAATCATATTTCTTTTTCCTGTCTTTTTGTACTTATCTAACAAAACAAACAGCAATAAAAAATTATTAAATGGTATTCACCCCAACTGTGAATTGTGAGAGAGAATGAAATGAGAATGTAATGTAAAGCATCTAAGCAGAATGCTCCAAAGAAACAATTATTATACAAATGTTGTGGGGCTCCTTAAAACACTAGAAGTCATTTTATTTATTTTTTATTTTATTTTATTTTATTTTATTTTTTGAGACAAAGTCTCACTCTGTCGCCCAGGCTGGAGTGCGGTGGCGTGATTTTGGCTCACTGCAACCTCCGCCTCCCGGGTTCAAGCAATTCTCTTGCCTTAGCCTCCTGAGTGGCTGGGACTACAGGCACACACCGCTACGCCCTGGCTAATTTTTTGCATTTTAGTAGAGGTGGGGTTTCACTGTGTTGCCCAGGCTGGTCGCAAACTCCTGAGCTCAGGCAATTTGCCCACCTCGGCCTCCTAAAATGTTGGGATTACAGGCGTGAGCCACCACGCCTGGCCATAAGTCATTTTAATTTCGTTCTTTCTAGATAAGATTATCATCAAGAATAAAAAATAAAGTTACTTCTCTGATCTACCTATAGTTAGTTATAGATTAGTTTTTAAAAAATGTATTGGGTAGAGGTTTCAAAATATTACCTCTTCCTGAAAATAAGCTCTTCAAGAACAGAATTCTGTCCCTACGAGTCAAATATTTATATGTGGTCACTTCCTGTTTTTTCTTTCTAAATGACTCCCCAACAAAATATTTACCTTCAAAGTATATACTCCCATTCTACCTGGAACCTTATAGAAGATGCCCTCTTCACCTCTGGAGTTTGTGTGAAGCATTGCATTCAGGCATGCAAGAGGAGAAGTCCCACTGCAAAACAAAGAAGAGATGTGATAAGGAACACAACAATTAATTTCTGTCTCTGAATATCCTATGTAACACTCAAAATAAAATTAATTAGTCAATACTCCTTTGACTTAAACATATCTTATAAACTATAAGAAGTCTACCAATATAGAAAGGGGCTGCCATGGAGAAAATGGATGTAAAAATCATTTCCATGTATCTACAAAATAGTAATTCCTTAATGCTGATCCAGTATCTAACATTTAAGTCAAGAAAAATACAGAAGTATTACAAACATATTTTGTAAACATTCTATTTAGCACAAGCTTTACAAATGTCCAGAGGTAAAATGAGAAAAAAGAACACAAACACACACAGATTCAAATAAACAGTAATAATTCCATTGTATACTGCTGCACCAGACTGAATCTTAATTGTGAAACTAACACATTGCCATTGTCTCTTGTATTCAAACCTATCATGAGATCACTTAAAAAGTTATTAAGTAGGCTTCTGAATATTTATATGTAGCAACTTGGTTAAATGTTTATTAATTCTAATATATATTTATCATCTTTACTAGAATTTCAGGTATATAATAATCTATAGAAAAATATAAAATATAATTAATAATTATACCACAGTTAATTTTGCACCAACCAAATATTTTAAAATAGTGCTATAATACTTGAAGACAATGTTTCTACATCTAAGGAAAATAACAAAATCATTAGATAAAATATCATACTTCACATAAGAAAAAAATTAGGTAGCAAGCAAACACATAGTTCATATGGAAGCAATTAAATGGAAACCGTGGTCTGAAGTCTCTGGAGATGTGTGGCATCCTTAAATGGTTTTTAAAAACTGATCACAATACCTGAGGTTTAAGGCAGTTTAACCCCACATTTCCAGCTCTTTTCCCTCTCAGTTTTCTGTTGATGCTACTCAATAACCAAAAATAAGCCTACTAGAAGAGGCTGTTGGATTCTTAGTCTATCTAAGGAGTTATCTGCTGGGAAGAGCTGGGACATGAGTCCACTGTCTCTTGGTACTGTGAAAGTGTCCAGGGTCGAAAATACAGAGAAGGTTTTCATCCCCCCAAAACATTGGTGAATAATAACAAAGGAAAGAAAAGCCTTTTGCAGAAGAAACTATTGAGCATTTCCAAGTTGATTTCCATAGCTACGTTTATCTGATTTGGATTTCCATGTTAAAAATGTATATAATGTAATTCCAATCAGGATCCCAAAGTTTGTATCAAATAAATATATAAAAATTGCCAAGAAATTTCCAGAAAAAAAATGATGGGAGACTTGCTTAAAAAGATATTAACATGTACTCTTAGCCACTATTATTGAAGTAGTATGTTTCCGAGAGAAAAAAAATCACCAAATGAATACCCTCATAGACTGTTGGTGGAAGAAAACAGAAAATGCAGAAACAGATAATAATTTAAAAGGTATCATTTATGTTTAGTATGAAAAACATGAGGTCATGCCATAGTCCCCTGTAGTTTGACTACCTGGCTTCTGTTCCCTCTTCTTTGGAGACAGTACCCAAAAATTTCCTGTGAAACAACTTTTCTCACTTTCAGTCATGTGGTTGAGAGGGACTGAATCCCATGCCCAGCCCGGGGGTAAATCCTAATTGGTTTAAATTAATCAGCTTTTACACACACACACACACACACACACACACACACACACTCTCCACCCCAAAGAACAGATACATGACTTAGGGCCAAAAATCTATGGAGCTATTTACTTGGGTATATGGGGGGGAAAAAAAACAACCAAAACTTGTTCTCCACGGAATCTTCAGAAAGGGATCCTTTCTCTTCCCTTGTGTGGTATTAGGAAGCAAGGCCTAAAACATTCACAGTCATTGTGTGACCACAAAGGAAAAATCTGGAATTAGAATGGCACAACATACAAGACAGACTGAGGAGTGACACAGTATGAATCGTAAGGAGAAATCCAACACCAAAAAGGGCAGAACTGAGAAAAGTCAGGAAGCAAATTTGTTTTTGTTTTTGAGACAGAGTCTCACTCTATCCCCCAGGCTGGAGTGCAATGGTGCAATCTTGGCTCACTGCAACCTTCATCTCCTGGGTTCAAGAGATTCTCATGCTCAGCCTCCCATGTAGCTGGGATTGCAGATGCCTGCCACCACACCCTGGTAATTTTTGTATTTTCAGTAGAGATGGAGTTTCACCATGTTGGCCAGGCTGGTCTCGAACTCCTGACCTCAGGTGATCTGCCCACCTCAGCCTCCCAGAGTGCTCGGATTACAGGTGTTAGCCACTGCGCCTGGCCAAAATTTTTAAAGTAGTATTACTTTTGCCTGTATCAAGCCTTTTTTGTTTTGTTTTTTGGAGAGACCTGTTCTTTATTTCAAAAAGACACTTGTGTCAATATTTGGTATCAAAAGAGTTGCACTATTGATTTGTCTTTCTCCCAGTTGGCCCCAAAGAGACCACATCAAAGGAGTGTACATTTTAAGCCAATAAGCTGCAGGATGTACACCTAACAGACCTCATTGAAACCTTACCAGAAAATGGGGATTGGGTAGGGAAAGAAACTTTAAAAGATCAGCAAACTGCCAGCCCACACACTGTATAGGCTGTCACAGCCAGACAGGGTGGCCAGGGTGCCACAAACCCAAAGAAGCAAAGCTTCAAAATAATAAAAAACTTTAAAAGTTTTGTACATAAGCTATTCAAGATTTCTCTGATACAAAGTACAATGAGATAGCACTTTTAGAGAGAGCAGCTTCAAACCCAGAAAAGGATAATGAGATGAGTTTCACATGGCTAAATCAGTGGCAAAACATAATCTTTCAAGGAGGGAGGATAGCAATTAAGTGGTCACTGCAACATAAGGGGCACATGATCCATTCTGCAGGCAGTTGAGAGGGGGCAGAGTTGGGACAAAAATTTAGTTTCAGAGGTCTTACCATTTTAATTTGGTCACTTCTAATGAAAAAAAAAAAAGAAATAACATTGTCCAAAGATATCTTAAAGCTGAAAACCTGAAAAGCACATTTTTGTTTTGTTTTTGTTGTTGTTTGGCTAACTCCTCCTGGAATCACCTTTCTGGTTTGGGGGGTACTTTTTACAGAGCAGTGAAATTTCCCATAATGGATTCTTTCCCTGGGCTCTGTTTGGCTCTCAGTAAGGCAGGCCTATACCTTTTCCTCTTCTCTATGGAAAGGGCAATATGCATTAAGCTGAAAAGTCACCTTCCAAAAGTGAAAAAGGAATAGATTGCTGCTTCAGAGCTGTGGAATTATTTGGAATGTTTTACAAATGGTTGCTATAAAACAACAAAAAAGGTATTACAAAATGTGTACATCACAACATGCTTTTAAAGGCATTATGCATTGTGTTCACATTCCCTTAAGTGTTGTTCCCAAAGGTGCACAGCCTCTAGCCCAGCTGGAATCTCTGGGAAGAGGCAGAGACAGTTTAGCGAAAAAGACACAGGGGAGGTGGGGGCAGCGAAAGGAGAAAGCAGCCTTCCAGTTATAAAGGTCAGCTTTGGGTAGGCTGGCCTCAGATGGAATCAGGGTCAGAGGGAGGAGCAGCAGCAGGGTGAGACTGAGGTGCTCTACATCTCATTCAGGTCAAGCAGAGTCTGGTCCAGCATCCTTTGTACAGAGTGCCCCTCTTTGGTACATTTTCAGTTTATCTTCCAAGTCATCAGTTGTCTTTTCCAGCTTGGCTACCGATCTCTCAGCAAACTCAGCACAGGTCTCTACCTCCTTGAGTTTATCAGTAAGAATCTTGATCTCTTCCACGTTTGTCTTCTTTTTGAGAGTACTTTTCTTCAGCATCACTCAGACACTTCAGGTTATGGTCCATCAGTCTCATCTGCTCATCCATCTCTCGGCAATGGGACACTGCCAGCTCAGCTCGTTCCTCTGTGAGTTCCAAGTCTCTTTCAATGACCACCAACTTACGAGCCACCTCTTCATACTTCCTATCTGCCTATTCTGCAGTGTGTTTAGCTTCTTTGAGTTGGATTTCCTGGAATTCCATCTTTTAAGGTCCAGTTTTTAACAACCTTCATATCTCTCTCACTCTGATCAGTAGCTTTTTCCGCTTCTTCCGGCTTTTGCAGGGCAGTGGCCACGTGCTCCTGAGCACAGTCCAGCTCCTCTTCAACCAGCTGGATCCTATGGTTCAAGGAGGCCACCTCAGCCTCAGCCTGTTCCCAGGCGCGCCTTTCTCCTTCAGCTTCTCGCTGGAGGTGCTCAGCTCTCTCCTCTGCATCATCTGCCTGCTGCTGCAGAACCTGGATATTGTGCTTCACTGCCTCAATAGTGGTGATCCCAGCCATGGTGCCCACCCAGCTACTGCTCACACTCCAGATCCTGCCTCCTCTGCTCAGCGTTGCAGCTGCTTCTCACCAGTGTATCAAGTCTTGCCTTGAGCCAGTACTACCTTTGGAATTTTGTTGAGATTTAAGTCACAAGAAGCTGAAAAAGTCCTAAATAAAACAGTTTAGTAGTGCTAGAATATCTCATACATCTGGGGGGAATGTGCACACAGTATATACAAAAACATATTCCAAATGAATTAAAAGCCAAAGGCAAAATATAAAAGATTAAAAGAAAACAGTATAATCTTCTGGGCACTGTGGCTCATGCCTGTAATCCAAGCACTTTGGGAGGCTGAGGCGGGTGGATCTCTTGAGTCTAGTCTGAGCAACCCCTGTCTCTACAAAAAATACAAAAATACACACACACACACACACACACACACACACACACACACACACACAAAATCAGCCATGCATTGTGGCACACGCCTGTAGTACCAGCTACTTTGGAGGCTGAGGCGGGAAGATCACCTGAGCCCAGGAAGTTGAGGCTGCAGTGAGCCATGATCACACCACTGCACTCTAGCCTGGGCAACAGAGTGAGACCATGGCTTAAAAAATAAATAAATAAATAAATAAATAACAAAAGAAAACAGTATAACCTAGAAGACAGAGAAAGCTTTCCACAAAAGAGAAAAACCCAAAAACCACCAAAGAAACATATTGACTGTATAAAATAAAAATTTCTACACAGGAAAAAAATAAAAGCAACAAAACTACAGAAAATATATGAAGCTAGAATAATTAACTGCAAAACATACGGCAGACAAAAGATTAATAGTCCTAAGAAGATATTCTTTAGGAAAACAAATAGCTCATTAGAAAAAAATGGAAAAAAGGACGTGAACAAATGATTCATAAACCATAAATGTAAATTACCAATAAAATGTATAATAAGAAGCTCAAACTTAATAGTGGTTATAAAAAGGCAAATTAAATCAAGATGCCATTGGTCAGATGGAAAGAAAGAAAATGACCCAAGCCATAGTTAACAGTTTTATGCCAATGTCAATTTCCTGGTTTGATATAATATGTATTTATATTTATATTTGTATTTATTTATATTTTTTTGAGATGGAGTCTCACTCTGTCAGCAAGGCTGGAGTACAGTGGTGCGATCTTGGCTTACTGTAACCTCTGCCTCTCGGGTTCAAGCGATTCTCCTGCCTCAGCCTCCTGAGTAGCTGGGATTAGAGGCACACACCACCACACCCAGCTAATTTTTGTATTTTTAGTAGATGGGGTTTCACCATGTTGGCTAGGCTGGTCTTGAACTCCTCCTGACCTCAAGTGATCCACACGCATCAGCCTCCCAAAGTGCTGGGATTACAGGTGTCAGCCACTGTGCCTGGTCTGATATTGTACTATATTTACATAAGATATTACCATTAAAGGAAACTGGATGAACTGTACATGGGACCCTAGGTACTATTTTTGCAATTTCCTGTGAGTCTATAATTATTTCAAAAAAAAAAAAAGGCTGGCCGCAGTGGCTCGCGTCTATAATCCCAGCACTTTGGGAGCCGAGGCAGGTGGATTACCTGAAGGTCAGGAATTAAAGACCAGCCTGGCCAACATGGTGAAACCCCATTTCTACTAAAAATATAAAAAATTAGCTGGGTATGGTGGCGGGCGCCTGTAATCCCAGCTACTCGGAAGGCTGAGGCAGGAGAATCTCTTGAAACTGGGAGGTGGAAGTTGCAGTGAGCCGAGACCGCGCCATTGCACTCCAGCCTGGGCAACAACAGTGAAAATTAATCTCCAAATAACAACAACAATAACAAAAAATGGATTGATAAAATCCATTGCTGACAAGGTTATGGGCAAATAGGCACTCTTACAGACTGTTGAGAGGACAGAAAACTGCTGCCTTTTCCCACATTACTCAATTCTGCCTTAGGAAAGTAATATGGAAATATCCATTAAAACTAAATATATTTGGGACCACTGATGCAACAATCCCACTTGAATCTGTCCTACAAAACCAAGGCCAAAGGACTTAAGGACAAATGTGCAAGGATTTACTCCATCATTGAAAGCATCAAAGCACTGAAAAATGACCTCAAACTCCATTAAGAAGAGAATGTTGACTATGATAATAAAGTAACCAACAGGATAGAAATCAACAACAGCCATGTTGGCAGCTAAAAGAGTGCTAAGTTCCAGGAAGCATTTTGTTTAGTCCTCACAACAATCTATGAGGTGAGCAAAATTATTACACCGTTTTTACAAATGAAGAAACTATAAGTTTTCAATAAGCTGTTCAAGATCATATTATCAATAAATGGTGAAGTCAAGATTCCAGTAACAAGAAGGAAAAGAGAAACAGAACTAGAAAGAGATTACTTTAAAAAGGACATAAAACCAAGAAAAAAAACATTTTCAATAAGCTACCTGGTAAATTTACCCCAATTAATGGTATTCAGTTCCAATATTAAGTACCCACTCTGTTTAGGGCAGTAAACTAGGATTAGTGGATCCACAGAGGGAAGCTTTCTTAGCTTAGAATCTAATAGAGAAGATAGGCAAGGGAGTAAACAGCCACACCACACTGTGACCAGTGCTATTAATATAAACACAGGTCCACAGTCCCTGATCTAAAACACTTAGGCCAAATGTTTCAGACATAAGAATTTTTTGGATTTTAAAAAGGTAACATGATATGCCATAAATGATATGACACTGCCATGGAGATTAGGGACAGCATCCCATAACCAAACACAATGAAACATATGAATACTCACACTAAGATGGATAAATAAAGATTATATACAGTCTCATGTCAGTTCAAGAGAACTGTTGTTGTCAAGTGAGTTTGGTGCTAAATGTATGAGGAAACTTAGTTTTTCAACCACTGCGGATACTGTAATTATGGGTAAGAGACTGTAAAGTGTGTACATAAAGTGCTTTAAGTCAGAGAGAAAAAAAATCAGTCTAGTCTGGCTTAGCACTTAGAAGAGTAACAACAACAAATAACAACAAAACAGTCATTAAAGTGAAACCTATAAAATGAAAGTAAATGGCACACACATCTGGTGAAAAGATGTGGTAAGAATAACTACAAACTGTCGGCCGGGCGCAGTGGCTCACGCCTGTAATCCCAGCACTTTGGGAGGCCAAGGCAGGCGGATCATGAGGTCAGGAGATCGAGACCATCCTGGCTAACACGGTGAAACCCTGACTCTACTAAAAATACCAAAAATTAGCCGGGCGTGATGGCGGGCGCCTGTTGTCCCAGCTACTTGGGAGGCTGAGGCAGGAGAATGGCGTGAACCCAGGAGGCGGAGGTTGCAGTGAGCCAAAATCGTGCCACTGCACTCCAGCCTGGGCGACAGAGCGAGACTCCGTCTCAAAAAATAAAAAATAAAAAAAAAAGAATAACTACAAACTGCCATAATATTTTCCTTGCAAATCTGGATATAATTTTCTTTGAAGGAAACAAAATTTTGAAAAACCTACAAGATATACAGGACACAGTACCATTTAAAACAAAATTTAGGCATGATCTCAGGAAAATACAAAAAGTCAAAGAATCCGGGCAGTTTATTTTTATGAATAATAAAGCAATAGCAGAGAAGCAAAACAGGACACACTACCCATGATGGCTGGAATATATCCTCATGGGAAGGTAGAGCTCCAGAATTCTATAATTAAATAAAAGTGAACGACTTGAAGAAATAAGACATCATCTGCATGGGTGATAAAACCATAGTACTGAGATCAATACCAACTTAAAAGTTCAAGTAAATTCAGTAGGGTAAGTACTAACACCCGAAGCAGCTGTAGTAAGAACCACCTTAAAGATTATGTAACTATCACACAACAAGTCAGCTTCTAATTTTTCTTGTCCATGCTCAAGAGATTGGGGTTGAAGAGGTAGGGGTTCTGTCAAGGAAAGGAACAAGTGCAGTGCTATAATTTTATGCGGTGAGCATGTAAGCAAACATACTAATATGTTTTGTACATAAGGCCCAAAGAACTAAAGTGACTTTGATCATATTGCCAATGGCCCTTTTTAGTTCTCTCTGTAATAAAAGCTAGCAGTAGCTAGTAGGGCTAAGAGAGCAGAAGTCAATCATTGTACTGCTTAGATAAAGCAAATATAGCAATTAATGAAAGGAGTCATCACTGCATGGTAAAGAGCCAGATTTAATGATTCATACCAATCTGAATACAGACCTGACTGTAGCCTGGGCAAGTCACTTTAAACACCCTTAATTTACTCATCTGCAAAATAGAGGTAATACTGCCTACTGTGTAACTCGATTGTACAGATCACAGATAATGTACATACCAAGTATATGTCACAGAGTCAAGATTCAGTAACTACAGCAGTTACTTTACCAACTTACTATCCTACCCTAGTCTGGCAGTGTTCCAGTGTTCCCCATCTCAAGTGATAGGAATCTCACCCTCACATACAACTATTCTCCACTCTGAAGCCAGAGTAACCTTTTAAATATAAATATGATCATACTACCTCCTGTCCAGCTTAAAATTCATCCATATCATAATGTTCTTAGTATAAAGTACAAAATTATCAAAATAATCTGACCTTGACCAAAATAATCTGACCTTGACCATTCTGCTACACACCCTCTCTGCCAGCCTACTCTACCTTTCTTTTCATTTGGTAATTTAAAATTCTTCTGACTACTTGGCCCAACACTTCTGCTTGCAATGATAACCCTCACCTCCTTTTCTCCTAGCAACCTCCAATTCAACTTTTCAGATTTTAGCCTTAATGTCTCTTGCTAAAATAAGCCACTTCTATGTTCTATAAATCCTATACTTCTCTGAAACACATATTTATAACTACATATACTGAAAGGAAAAAATCTGACTCAACTGTAAGCGAGCCAGACTCAGTGATGAGTGATTTTAATGTCTCTGAAAAGTAGAATCTTTCTTCTCTTCTACAATTCAACCCAAAATATCCAGCTCTAAGGCCTGTGAGCAGTCATCTTGCAATTATGATGGATGAGCCTACTGAGAATGGAACAAAATTGAAGGAAGCAGAGCTGAGATACTGATGAAACTGACTGGAGAACTTGGATAAAGTTTTGCCTGTTTTTTTCACTTGCATTAAATGATGAGATTCCTTCAATGTTTAAGCCAGTTTACATCGTGTTTCCTGTCATTTACAGCTGGAAGTATCTTAATAGATACAAAGCACCTACATAAAAGCAATCAAATTTACAGAGATAGGAAAGGGAAAAGAACAACAACACAGGAGAATATTCACAGGTAAACCACTCTCTTCTGTTAACGAGAAAAGATTACCCTTATGCATCAATAATGTATATTACATGATAATGTAAGAGGTAAGATGCTACCCAAATCTGTACAGACTAACCCCAAGTACTCAGATACTCAGAAACATCTAAATTTTTCCTAAATCTTGGCTGGGTGCGGTGGCTCACACCTGTAATCCCAGCACTTTGGAAGACCAAGGTGAGCTGATCACTTGAATCCAAGAGGCGGAGGTTTCAGTGAGCCACTGCACTCCAGCCTGTGCGACAAAGCGAGCCTCCATCTCAAAAAAAAAAAAAAAGTTAATATTTTCCTAAATCTTAAGCGTCAAGGATAAAGAAAGAATCAAACCAGGTTCCAGGCGTTAAAAGCCAAAGTGGCAGCTTGAATTAGTGTTTCCATTTCATCATTCACACCATCGTGTGACCTTGCAGTACGTTACAGTAAGTGAAATATATTTCCCTGCCACAATGATGTTCGTCTTGGCCACAAGGCTTGATTTGATCAATGAAATAAGAGACATGACGGAAGCAGAGGCTAAAATTTGCCTGTTTGGCTGACTCCTGTGATTGACATGAGAGCCAGATTCCAGCAGAAGGAGAGAACAATCCACAGCCTACAACAAAGTCTAGCTAACAATAACTAAGCCCCAGTTAACCTAAAGACATGAGGAAGAAAAAAAGTATTTGTTGTTATAAGCCACTGAAATTTTAAGATTATGCAGCAAAATATTGACCAATAAAGCAAGCACTATATAATGAAGGAAACATTTGCTTTCTTAGCAATACTCACTGCCAAAAGACAGCAAAAAAAGTTCTTAAGAGTATGAATGAAAAATTTTATATCTAGCCTAGATGGCATTCAAACAAAGAGGCAATAGAAAACATTCTTGGCTTGGTGTGGTGGCTCACGCCTGTAATCCCAACACTTTGGGAGGCCGAGGTTGGCGGATCACCTGAGGTCTGATGTTCGAGGCCAGCCTGGCCAACATGGTGAAACCCAGTCTCTACTAAAAATGCAAAAATTATCCAAGCATGGTGGTAGGCATCTGTAATCCCAGCTATTTGGGAGGCTAAGGCATGAGAATTGCTTGAACCCAGGAGACGGAGGTTGCAGTGAGCCAAGATTGCACTGCACTCCAGCCTGGTTGGCAGAGCAAGACTCTGTCTCAAAAAAAAAAATTCTTAAGCCCGCAAGAACTCAGGGAAAAGATCATCCATAAATGTAAAAATTCTAGCTGATGATGAAATCCAGCCAAAAAGAAATGCACCAAAGTAAACAAGGAATGGAGAAACTATTTTTTGGAAAAAAGTGGAATACATTTGCAATTAGGTAACATATAAGAAACGTAAATGTTTTCTACTTTTTTCAACTTTCATTTTTAAAATGACAATACACTTTCAGAATTTTTCTATTTTGTTTTTCCTCAACTTCAGAGATCATTTAGGAATTAATATTACCTCACAGTGAAGAAACTAAAGCCTAGTAACTTTCTTGGTCTCTTCAATTAAATGCAATAAACAATGGTTATTCCTACTTAAAAGTTTTTCAGGATATGTTCTTCAGTGTACATTTTTTTCACTGATTAATTTAATTTGGGTAGGGGGTTATCAGGCATCATTTCTACAAGAAATATTGAAGTAAATAGTCCGGAAATATACAAATAAACTATTAAAACAAGGAAACTTCTGAAAGACAATAGAGCTCTTTTTGAAAATCACTTTGTCACAGGGCATGCTATTAAAAACAAAACAAAAACTAGAACAGCAGGTAAGAGGGGAAATTGCATACAGATGGAAATGAAAGACTTTCACTTAAAAAGACACACTGAATAGCAAGGTACTTGTTCACCAAGTACAAGATGATACACTGACAGAGAGTGAGAACCCCAGATGCCCACAAATACAAAGAAGGGGATGCCTATACATAACATTCAAAGATCAAGAGACAAGCCAAAGATGAAGCTGAGAAAACTAGTGGTTTTAGAATGAGTATATTTAGATCATATCACCAAAACTTTTAATCATTTAAGTTACATGGTAATGATTTTTAGGGGAAAAATTAGCTCTTCACTTAAAACACATTAATATAAAAGCATTTTCAGCATTTTGATGGTAACTTGAAAGTCTGTTACATCAAAGTATATTTTCAAATAGAATTTCAAAGGCTTTGCAAACCTATGATAGAATGGCTCACCTGTTAAAATTTATCTTTCATTTAGAGTATATTTGACCAATGACTTACTATACCTCAAATCCTGTTTAAAAATCCATGCTGGGCCACGCAGTGGCTCACGCCTGTAATTCCAGCACTTTGGGAGGCCAAGACAGGTGGATCACTTGATGTCAGGAGATCGAGATCAGCCTGGCCAAAATGGCGAAACCCCGTCTCTACTAAAAATACAAAAAACTTAGCTGGGCATGGTGGCGGGCACCTGTAATCCCAGCTACTCGGGAGGCTGAGGCAGGAGAACTGCTTGAACCTGGGAGGTAGAGGTTGCAGTAAGCCGAGATCATGCCACTGTACTCCAGCCTGGGCGACTGAGTGAGAGCTCATCTCAAAAAAAGAGAAACCCATGCTAAAGACTTCTCTAAATGCTGTTCTTGGAGGAATTAAATTGCTACTTACCCTAAAGCAATAAATGACTATAGCAGAAATAACCCAAAGAATAAGAATCCATGAGGTCATGCTAAGAATAAATGAACAAATCAACGAGTGGGGGAGAATTCCTCACAGTAAAATTCCAACAAAAAATATATATATATACCAAGATTGACAGAATTAGAAAATCACCATATGCGGCAACAGTGATAGGAAGTTTCAGGTAAGATTAGTGGATGCTGTGGTAGACAGACCTAAAAAGGCTTCCAGTAATCCCTGCTTTGTGTACTCATGGCCCTACATAATTCCTTCCCCTGTAGTGTGGGTAGGGCCTGTAATCAGCTTCTAATAATCAAAAAAGAACAAAGGTAAAGGGTCTCACATAAGTGACTATTTCACATATGACTGCAGTGTCCTCGCTTGATGACTCTTCCTTGCTGGCTTTGAGGAAGCATGTGGCCATGTTGGGGAAGGCCACAGAACTCAGGACAGCCTCTAGCCAAATGCCAGCTAAGAATCCAGACCCTCAATCTGATAACCCACAAGGATTGAATCTTTCCAACAACCACATGAGCTTGGAAGCTGATCATTCCCCAATCAAGTCTTCAGGTAAAAACTCAGCCCTGACCAACGCTCTGCTGCATTGCCGAGGATCAGGTAAAGCCGTGCTCAGACTCCTGACACATAGAAACTGAGATAATAAATGCACTGTTTTAAGCTGCTAAATCTGTGATAATATTGTTAAGCAGCAATAGATTAATAACATGCTAAAATTAGTGGGCAAAGGTACAATGAGAAACAAGATGTTTACAGAGTCTCAGAGTATCTTCACCCCAAAATACTTACTAATTACAAAGGGGAAAAATGGTATCTTTACAGTGAAGAAACAGTAGACATTGCATAAACCAAGTAATCACAGTTACCATCACTAATACTGTGGTACACTGAAATCATGGAATCCAGATATATTATGGTAAAAATGTCCTATCGATCCTGTGACACTCCTGCCAAAACTGCACAACTTAAATCTAATCATAATTAAACAGCAGAAATAAAAATTGAGAAACAATCTGCAAAACAGCTGGCCTGCACTAAAAAAAATGTCTAGTCATGAAAGATAAAGACTGAAGTACAATTCCAGATTAAAGAAGAGTAAAGATACATGAAAACTAAATGCAAATACAACATGTGATCCTGGATTAGGACATCAGTGGGAGAATTACCAAATCTGGATAAAGTCTGATTAGATAATATTGTGCCAATGTAGATTTCCTATTAACTATTTTACCCTGTAGTTAAAGAATGTACTTGCCTTTAGAAAATATATTCTGAAGTTTGCTTGCTTGACTGACTTATTTATTTATTTATTTATTTTTAGACAGGATCTTGCTCTGTCCCCCAGGCTAGAGTGCAGTGGTGCAATCATAGCTCACTGCAGCCTTGAACTCCTGGGCTCAAATTTAATTCTCCTGCCTCCACCTCTAGAGTAGTTGGGACTACAAGTGTGCACCACGATACCTGGCTAATTATTTTATTTTATTATTGTATAGAGACGGGCTCGCTTTGTTGCCCAGGTTGGTCTTGAACTCCTGCACTCAAGCAATCCTCCCACCTCAGCTCCCGAAGTGCTGAGATTATAGGTGTGAACCACTGCATCAAGCCTACTCTGAAGTATTTAAAAGTGAATGGGGCATTATGTCTACAATTTATCCTCAGACATCTCAGAAACACAAATTAGACAGATGTTAACATCTGGAGAATCCAGATAAAGTTTATATAAGAATTCTTTGTACTACCTTTGCAACTTTTCTAAGTCTGCAATATACCATATAAAGTTAAATAAATGTATATGATTTTTAAAAAAGTAAGTATATGAGAAAAGTCTATACAACAATTTGGACCAATGAAAAGAAAGAAGTACTGATCAATGCTACAAACATGATGGAATTTGGAGTTTATGATTACATATTATATGATTCCATTTATATGAATGTCCAGATATGGCCAAACTTACAGAGACAGAAAGTAGATTACAGGCTGTTAGGAGGAGCCAGCATTACCCGTATCCAGTATGAGAGATCTCACTGGAGTGATGAAAACATTCTAAAACCGGATTATGGTGATAATAGCACAACTCAGTAAATTTACTTAAAACCATTGAACTGTGCACTGAAAACAGGTGGAGTTTCTGGCCTGGTGTGGTGACTGGCCCAAAATCCTAACACTTTGGGAGGCTGAGGTGGGAGGATCGCTTGAGCCCGGAAATTTGAGACCAGCCTGGGAAACATATGGAGAACTTGTCTCTACAAAAAATGTAAAAATTAAGAAATCAGGCCAGGCGCGGTGGCTCACGCCTGTAATCCTAGCACACTGGGAGGCCTAGGCGGGCGGATCACCTGAGGTCAGGAGTTCGAGACCAGCCTGACCAACATGGAGAAATCCCATGGAGAAACCCCGTCTCTACTAAAAACACAAAATTAGCCGGGCATGGAGGCACATGCCCATAATCCCAGCTACTCAGGAGGCTGAGGCAGGAGAACAGCTTGAACCCGGGAGATGGAGGTTGCAGTGAGCCAAGATCGCGCCACTGCACTCCAGTCTGGGCAACAAGAGCAAGACTCCGTCTCAAAAAGAAAAAATCAAAAAAATAAATAAATAGCCAGGTGTGGTGGTGTGTTCCCATAGTCCCAACTACTCCAGAAGCTGAGATGAGAGGATCCCTTGTGCCCAGGAGTTCAAGGCTGCAGTGAGCTATGACTGTACCACTGCACTCCAGCCTGGGTGACAGAGCAAGACCCTGTCAGGAAAGAAAGAAAAAGGGGAAAGGGAAAGGAAAGGAGGGAAAAAAAAAAAGGAAAATGAGGTGGAATTTGGAGTTTATGGCATGTAAACTACACCTCAATAAAGTTGTTTTTAAAAAAATATGCGGGGCTGGGCGTGGTGGCTCACGCCTATAATCCCAGCACTTTGGGAGGCCACAGCGAGCAGATCACTCGAGGTCAGGAGTTGGAAACCAGCCTGACCAACATGGTGAACCACCGTTGAAACATGAGCCACTGCCTGGCCTGTTCCCATATTTTCTATGAACACGTATATATTCTCCCAGGGTCCCAGGGTCAAATAAAACAAAATGTATCCAGAAAACAAAGCACTTGATCACTTGACTAACCAAAGGAAAAGAAAACCATTCCAAAACAAACACCATAAATATCCACTTATCAAATAAGAAGCAGCAAGAAAATGAAAACACTGGGGCAACTTATGTCTCTCTGCTTTATTTAGAGTGTTCATCTTTCTGCTGTTTCTGGACCTGCACTATGATGGACGGACACTAATGAATGGATTCAATATGGCACAAACTGATCTACCATGTAAAGAGTACAATAATGCCACTGACACTCCTAGAACAACTCCTGCTTATGATGCAATGAGTTGCAAGTAATTCAGGTTATCTGGCGAACTAAAGATTTAATGGACTGAATCTCACTGGCAAGAAGCCTATCAACATTAATACTAAAAATTGAGTTGGCGAGAAGAATTCATCTTCCACCTTCACACAGAAATTTTGAAAGCCCAAAAATGATAATAAAAGGTAAAAGAAACTTGTAGATAATAAAAGGTAAAAGTAACTCTTTACTCTGCAAGGTTTTCTCTACATAAAAATTTAACAGTAAGTCCTCGGGCCCCTTTTCCTACACTTTTCTCTTCTCCCCGACCGGAGGGGCCGCTCTTTCTGCGCGGTGCATTCTGGGGACCGAGGTGGAGCCCGCCGCTGCCGCCATCGCCTGAGGGAAGCGAGAAGAGGCCGCGACCGGGAGAAAACGCAGAGTCGTCACCGGAGAGAAGTCGACTCCCTAGCAGCAGTCGACGCCAGAGGGCCGCCCACCTGTTCGCCCGTCCCCCTGCCCTGTTCACAATGC
Organism: Homo sapiens; assembly: GCF_000001405.40. Taxonomy (NCBI): domain Eukaryota; kingdom Metazoa; phylum Chordata; class Mammalia; order Primates; family Hominidae; genus Homo; species Homo sapiens. The sequence continues at coordinate 25,822,473 of NC_000002.12, forward strand.
AGCCTGCTTCTGCAAAGTGGTACTATCGAAGGGACTATGTCTTCACTGAATTCTGTGAACACAGTAAGGATGTTCATGTAAATTTTGAAAAATCCAAACTTAACATTCAGTTGTCTCAGAGGAAGTGATAATTTTAAGTATTTAAATGAAGTTGATCTTTTTCACAGTATTGATCCTAATGATTCCAAGCATAAAAAAAACGGACAGATCAATTGTATGTTGTTTACGAAAAGGAGAATCTGGCCAGTCATAGCCAAGGTTAACAAAAGGAAGGGCAAAACTCAATTGGCTTAGTGTGGACTTCAGTAATTGGAAACACTGGGAAGATGGTTCAGATGAAGACAGGTCTAATTTTGATCGTTTCTCTGAGATGATGAACAACATGGGTGGTGAAGAGGATGCAGATTGACCAGAAGTAGATGGAGCAGGTGATGATTCACAAGACAGCGATGATGAAAAAATGCCAGATCGGGAGTAAGGAATACTGTCATCACCTGGATTTTGGGAAAGAAAAATAACTTCTCTGCAAGATTTCACAATTGAGAGAATTCCTAAGTTGACAGCTCTAAAGGCAGATGCTGTATTTGCCTACTTTGACCCATTTTTCAGCCTGCTTGTTTTTTTAAAAGGCTTCACTAAGGGTTGATATGTACCATTGTATGGGGCAATTTTAAGTCAGCTAAGGCAATAACCTTATGCATGAACATTTCCTAGATTTTCATGAAGCTGTTGAGTGAGGTCCTAGGCAATTGATGCAGCAGTTGTGATAAATAAAAACATCTCACCACCTAAGTCTCCTTTTCTTCATAACATAGATACTGACATGATAGGAAGCTCTCAGCTTACGGAAAGAGAACTAAATTTTAGATTATAGAACATGGATTCAAAAATGGCTGGAACAAATTGGCTGACACCTTACTGGTAACCTGCTATTCCTCTGGTGTTATCCTTCAGGATTGTTCCAAGTTTATTTTTCAAAATATTTACTTCACATTATTCTATATAAGTGATTACTTGTCAGTATTCACATGTATCTTAGCTAAAACTAGAGAATGCCCTAATTTAGATGGTTTTTGAAGCCTGTATATTTGGTATTGTTTGACCCTTAGGTGTTTTTACATCTCTTAGCACGGAAGATGAAGAAAGCTGTACATTGTTGTTTGTTTAAGAGTCTGTACATTTAGACCAGATTTGTATCTGCACTGTCAGTATGGCAAATGAGTGAAAAACGTTTAATACAGTATTGGATTTCTTTCTTTTTTTTTTTTTCAGCTTATACCAGGGCTTAAAACCTCAATTTATGTTCATGACAGTGGGGATTTTTCTTGATGTCCACATTCTTTCTAATAAACTGTTGGAAGACTTCTTGGCTGTCCTTTTAAGTGTCTGGCTTACTGTAATTTTTATGTATTTACCACTTACTGGAATGGAGTTTTTATTTTTAATTGAGGAAAAATTTGGGATTATTTCTCTGTTTGAAAAAAGAGGCTTGCTGTAATGTCATAGGAAACCTTTTTAAAGTGGATCTGTAATAGAATATTGTAGATGCACTTTGCAGCAATTGGAAAAGAAAGTGTTGTGATTTGATTGAAATAAAACTAAATGTGTTGTCCTCCTCTAAAATATATATAGCAATAATTAGTAGTTATGCTGAAATTAATAATTTGAAACTATGTTTATGTACTGAAAGGATACATTTATAATGCTGTTTTGAACTAAAGGTTTCAATATAAAAGAAAAAAATACAAATATAAAATCAAATAATAATACTAAAACTCCATAAACTCAGGAAAAAAAATATGGAAAAGAAGCTGTCTTGATTTCTCATTCATTTAATATTTACAAAGGACCTATCATATAGCAACACGGTAGTATGTGCAGGTGGTATAAAAGATGAAGTGGAAGTTTCCATAAGAAAGAAGTACTCATTCTTACATTTTAATGTAAAAATAACTGAACTGGAGCTGAGCTGAGCCAAATGACAGTCTCTTTACTAGTGTGCACGTACACACACACACACACACACAATTTGCCTCCAGAAAAATTCAGCAAATAGATAGAAGTTTAAAATGTACACTATCTAAAAACTGTTAGCCATATTTGCAATTTTGCTATCAATTCAAGAATCGAACAAAATCAGAAACTCAGGTTTAGAGCTTGTTTTCTAATTTGTCAGTCTCCAACCCCGTGGTTTACAAATAACAGTATATTCAACTGTAAATGCAGTAGCACTTGTAGCAAAATTATGATTCTTAATGTTTCCTAATTATGTATTTTTTTAAAAAGAGATCTCTTCCCAAAATTAACTGGTAACTTTTCCGGTAACTAATGATGTCTAATTTCCCCACTGAGCATCATGACATTTTCACTATTCTTTCTTTCATTCTTAGTTTCTTTCTGGGGCTCAAAGACACATGTAAATGAAGTCCAGAATAAAGGTCATTAAGTATACATGGCCCATCAACTTTCAAAGTTAAAAGTCTCAGCTTTAGCTTGCTTTGTCTTGTCTATAATCCTTCTCATTCTAAAGGCTCTTGCCAAAACTCTAAAACTTACTTGTTTTACCAATTCTGAATCATTGCATTGTGAGCAGAAGTTAATAAAAATCACATTCTTATCCTTCACTTTCTTAACCACCCATCACTGTCTAGATTTTAAATTTAACAAGGTAAAATGAACATTAACCTTCCTGAAAAAGTTAAAGGCATACCTCTGCTCATTCTCTTTACCTTAGGCAAATGTTCTCTATTTCCTACTAATATAACAAGATGGCTGTTTCTCCTACATTAGATTAAATTGTGCCCCATTCAAATAAATGCAAAATCCTAGAACTTTTTTATTGTGGTAAAATATACATAAAATTTACCATCTTACCTAAGTGTACAGGTTCAGTAGTGTTAAGTACAGTCACCCTGTTGAGCAACCTTTTCATCTTACAAAACGGAAACTCTACACCCACTAAACAGCAACCATCTTCCCCTGCCCACCAGCTCCTGGCAACCACCATTCTCTTTGTCTCTATGAATCTGACTACTCTAGGTATCTCATATAAGTGGAATCGTACAGTATTTTTTATTTTTTGTCTGGCTTATTTCACTTAGCACAATGTCTTCAAGATTCATCCATGCTGCAGCAGGTGTCATTTTCCTTTCTTTTTAAAGCTGAATATTCCATTGAATATATATGCTACATTTTGTTCAGCCATCCATCCACCCATCAATGGATATTTGGGTTGTTTCTTCCCTTTGGCTACTGTGAATCACGCTGCTATGAACACTAGTGTTAAAACTATCTGTTAAGTCTCTGCTTTCGATTCTTTTGCGTATACAGGCAAAAGAGGAATTGCTGGGTAAAATAAAATCCTACAACTTTTGATCATTCTTTACTTAATTCTCAGTTTACACAACTCTCTCTCTGTTTTCAACACCTACTAACAAAAATCAGATAAGATATCGGTTGACAAGGGAGCTCCATAGGTGACCTAGACCATTTACCTACAGGTACTTGTACCCCGTCTAAGGTATCTAAACAGGTAATCACCCAATGTCTTATACAAGCATACAACGTGGTGGGCGGGCACTATGTCCTCAAGCATTTCCAATTATTCACAAATTCCTTCTTAAGCTAAGCTAAATACTCTTCCTATAAGTCTATTTATAAGTCTACCTTTATGATGGAAATCAGTAGTATAATGCTGGGAAAATCTGGGGGGCTCTTTGTTTTCCTCTGCAATGTTTGAATTTTGAAACTGATTTTGCAACAAATTATCTTTGAAAGTGGGCTGGAAAAGTTTGACATTATTTCTTTATCATTCCAATGACAGTTGTTTAAGTATTTTAAGACTTCATGAAATCCTGAAGTCTACTCCTTTCCAGATTATTTTTGGTCTCCTCACTGGCATTCCATGCTGCACCCAATCCAAAGAATCTTTAATACATTAAGCTTGTACCGTCCATCCTTAAAATTCATCAGTGTCTGCCAATATTTGTTATCCCCATTTCAAACCTTTGATAAACAGGTTTAAGGGACATCACTAATCCAACTTATTTGATCCTAGAGATATTCTCCCTTGCAATAACAAGTTACTGCCTAATTCCTACTTTAATCCCCAATCTCTTGTCCATTTTTTCCGTACTCCTTCCTATAAAATACAGTTGTCAAAACTTGGCCTTAAGGCCACAATGATTAATCATTTTCCCTATTCCTGGCTGAACTATACACAATCTATATTTATCCTTCAAAGCTCAATCCCTTGAACTTCAATAGGATTAAATAATAGACTTTCAAGGTAAAAAAAAAAAAAAAAAAAAAAAAAGTCATCTAGACCAGATGCTTAAATGCCCTCACTTCAAGTCGATTTTATTTTATTTATTTGTTCATTTATTTAGAGACAGGGTCTTGCTCTGTAACCCAGGCTGGCTCAATCATACTGCAGCCTTGAATTCCTAAGCTCAAATGCTCCTTCCTCCTCAGCCTCTTGAGTAGCTGAACCACATGTCTGCATCACCACGAACAGCTAATAATTTTTTTTTTTTTTTTTTTTTGGGTAGAGATAGGGTCTCCCTATGTTGCCCAAGCTAGTCTCAAACTCCTGGGCTCAAGCGATCCTCCCGCTTCACCACCCAAAGTGATTACAGGCATAAGCCACCACACCTGGCCTAAAGTCAATTTTAAATATAAAGATATAATAAATTTATAGTCATTGTATCTACAATCTTTCATTCACATGATATCCACTTAGACATATATCTGTAAACACACACCCACAATCATTATTCACATATGAACTCTCGAAATTTAATACTACATAACTTTAAGACCAAAAATAGATTTTATGGCATACTTACATGCCTTTACAAACAGAAAACACAGAACAAAACTGACCTCAACAGCACACTTACATTGGAAATTTCTAAATTACGTTTGGTAATTTAGAAATTACTGAATTAATAAATAGTCTTGGTTGATTTTAGATTTAAATTTAAATTTTTGTATTCCTACACATCTTCAGTAAAACATTTTTCCTTCCCTTGATCACATTACCTGCAATTCCACCATGATTGATTCATTCGGATTAACAACTAATCTGCTTTTTAAAAAGAAATAATATAAATGTAGCTTTTAACTTTGATTTAAAAAGTAAACATTTGATTCATCCACACTTCAATCAATTTGTTTCTTCATACTCTTTTCCTCCCCAAAATACACCATCAAACAAATGGGAATAAAAGCACTAAAGACATAAGGGAAAGGGTGTGTAGGAAAACTTTTAAACAAGCAGCTTGGGGTAAGTAGATCTAGTTGTGGCCCCAAAATGAGAGGTTCTAGGTCAACAGAGCAGCAGATGGGCACAGAACAAATGAGAGTGATCTAGGAATCGCCTAGAGAGGGAGGTCATAGCAATAAAAGATTCCTTGGAAATTTTTTGTTGTTGTTTGCTTTACCTTACCGTTAACACCTAACTATAAACCTTCACTCTATCATCCCATTATTGTCTTCCACTAACATCTTCTAAAAAGCATGGCTTTGTCCACTAGCATTAACAAGTGGGCAAAACAGTTTCAAATGAAAAAAAAAAAGGAGTCCAGTAATTCTATGTTCTATTTTTAAGTAAACAAATGAAATAACAAGGTTCAATATTATTTAGATTAGATAATTACAAACTCTTGGTATAGAAGGGCCTTAGAGAACAATCTAACTTTTCACCTAAAGAGAAATAAGAAACAGCTCATTAAGATCCTTGTCCAGGCCAGCTGGGTGCGGTGGCTCATGCCTGAAATCCCAGCACTTTGGGAGGCCGAGGCAGGTGGATCACGTGAGTCAGGAGTTCGAGACCAGCCTGACCAACATGGAGAAACCCCGTCTCCACTAAAAATACAAAAAATTAGCCAGGCATGGTGGCGCATGCCTGTAATCCCAGTTACTCGGGAGGCTGAGGCAAGAGACTCACTTGAACCTGGGAGATGGAGGTTGCAGTGAGCCAAGATCACACCATTGCACTCCCTCCCTGGGCAACAAAGAGCAAAACTCCATTTCAAAAAAAAAAAATAAAAAGAAAAGATCCTTGTCCAGGCCGGGCACAGTAGCTCACGCCTGTAATCCCAGCACCTTGGGAGACCAAGGTGGGCAGATCACGAGGTCAGGAGTTTGAGACCAGCTTGGCTAACATAGTGAAACCCCATCTCTACTAAAAATACAAAAAATTAGCCGGGAGTGGTGGCAGGCACCTGTAATCCCAGCTACTGGGGAGGCTGAGGGAGGAGAACTGCTTGAACCCTGGAGGTAGAAGTTGCAGTGAGCTGAGATCGCACCATTGCACTCCAGCCCAGGCAACAGTGTGAGACTGTGTCTCAAAAAAAAAAAAAAAAAAAAAAAACAACAACCTTGTCCAATCTCCTGAGTGCAGCAGAAACAGCACTTATATTTTAGACTCACAGATGTGGGTTCAAGTTCTATCACTAATTAGATATGTAATTTTTCACTGATTTTATGTGTTTATCTATGAGATAATGATCTCACAAGGCTTATTAAAGATTAAACAGACCATGTGAATGGACTCCCATCTTAGTCAAGGCCATTTCACTACTGGTTTATTACAGCATCAGGCTTTTCAATCTTATGAGGAATAGGAAATAAAAAGTAGGCCAGATGTGGCAGTGTACACCTGTAATACCACCTACTACAGAAGCTATGGTGGGAGAATCACCTGAGCCCAGAAGGTCGAGGCTGCAGTGAGCTATGATCACACCACTGCACTCCTGCCTGAGACAAACAGAGAGACAGAGACAGAAACACAGAAAGGGAGACACATACACATACACACACACACACACACACACACGAGGGTTTATCATCTGAGGTAAAAGGAGTATTAGTGAGGAAAACAAAATACTTATGAATGAATATAAACTATGGGCATGGTTCTGAAAGAACTCAGCTGGAGAGAGAGAATAAAAATCAACAGATTCAATTAAGTAAACCAAAAGACAGAAATTTCGCAATTTTATACCTTTGTCCTACTTGGTATTCTTGTTGATTTAGCAAACAGAGCTTGGATATCTAAACAGCTAACACTACTTATTACAATTATTTTCTACTTTGAACCAGAGTTACCAGTCCTGATGTAGCCATTTATATTGAGATTCAGAGTTTTGAAGTAGTTGGTTGACCCATTAATTTTACCAATTCCTGGCATTTCCCAACTAAGAGAAGTAACTTAGTTATGGTAGATCTTAGGAGATTATTAAATGACTTTCGTTGCAAGTTTATGTTCCCTCAAGTCTCAAAAATAAAGACTAGACTAGGGGAGGCCAAATGGCACAAGCAAGTGGGAGAAGATCACAAAAATAGTCCAGCCCAGGAAGCCTCTTTGTCCTTGTGGGCCTGAGACTACAACACCTCCCGCTCTCACAAGATGCTGAGCAGCCAAGTAGCTCAAGCAAAGGGGATCCTGCCAGGAAGCCTGTCTGTCCCCACAGGCTGAAGACTCCCTTTTGTCCACATCTACAGGCATCAGGCAACCCAGCCTGTGAAAATTCCCACCGCCTCAAACAGAAGCAACAGAGATCAATAAGAAGCAGCAGAGGTCAATGGGAGCCTCTGTGGCACCAGATAAAACAAGCAGACCCAAATACCACTGCAAAGGATCTGAAAATTAAACTGTTATTGGAACCACAATCCACTAAAACAGTCCAGGACCTGCATGGTAAACCTAAGTAAGCACAGTGAATGCCAGCTTAAATAAGACTGGACATCCCCTAACATGATAGCCAAAATATCCAGGGTTCAATGGAAAATCGCTATCTGAATCAAAGAAGACAATTAGAGGACACCAACACTGAGACAGATGTGAAAATTGTAAGAAAAATTTCAGAGTAGGCCGAATGCAGCGGCTCACGCCTGTAATCCCAGCACTTTGGGAGGCCGAGACAGGTATATCACCTGAGGTCAGGAGTTTGAGGCCAGCCTGACCAGTATGGTGAAACCCCGTCTCTAGTACAAAAAGTAGCTGGGCATGGTGGCGCATGCCTGTAGTCCCAGCTACTTGGGAGGCTGAGGCAGGATAATTGCTTGAACCCAGGAAGTGGAGGATGCAGTGAGCCGAGATCGCATCACTGCTCTCCAGCCTGGGCGACGGAGCAAGACTCTGCCTCAAAAAAAAAAAAAAAAATTAATAAATAAATAAAAATTGGAATAGCTCTCATAAAAATGCTTCAAGAACTACTTAAAATTCTTTTGAAACAAACATATAGAAAATATCAGCAAAGACAGAACTTTTAAAAAGAAATCAAATAGAAATATAAAAATAAAAAATACATTAAGAAATTTAAAAACTCACCAGATGAAATCAGTAAGAGAGTGGAGACAACAGAGGACAGAATCAGTGAGCTTAAGAACAGGTCAATACAATTTACTCAATGTGAAGAGACGGAAAAAATAACACCAAAAAAATTAACAGAATCTCAAGGCATTGTGAGATAACAACAGAAGATTCAACATTCATATCATCAGCATTCCAGAAAGAAAAGAGAAAGAGAGTAGGGGAGAAAGAGTATTCAAAGAATTGGCCAGGCACGGTAGCTCACATTTGTAATCCCAGCACTCTGGAAGGCCAAGGTGGGTGAATCACTTGAGGTCAGGAGTTCGAGACCAGCCTGGCCAATGCAGTGAAACCCTGTCTCTACTAAATTAGCTGGCTTGGTGGCACACACCTGTAATCCCAGCTACTCGGGAGGCAGGAGAATTGCTGGATCCTGGGAGGCAGAGGTTGCAGTGAGCAGAGATCACATCACTGCACTCCAGCCTAGGTGACACAGTGAGACTCCGTCTCAAAAAAAAAAAAAAAAAGAGTATTCAAAGAATTAACAGCTGAAAACTTCTCTTATTTGGTTAAAGAAATAAACACAGGCCAGGCACAATGGCACAGGCCTGTAATCCCAGCACTTTGGGAGGGCAAGGCAGGCAAACTGTTTGAGCTCAGGTATTGCGCTGGGCAACATGATGAAACCCTGCCTCTACAAAAAATGCAAAAATTAGATAGGCATGGTGGTGCACACCTGTGGTCCCAGCTACTCAGGAGGCTAAGGTGGGAGGATTGCTTGAGCCCAGGAGGCTGATGCTGCAGTGAGCTGAGATCGCACCACTGCACTCCAGCCTGGGCAACAAAATGAGACCCTGTCTCAAAAAACAAAAAACCTGAAGATGTAACAGGATTTAAAAAGAAAAAGAAAAAGTAATAAAGAAAAATGAAGAAATAAACCTACAGATTCAAGAAACTCAGTGAATCTAAATAGGATAAATCTAAATAAGTCCACCAAGATACATCATAATTAAACTTCTGAAAACTAAATCCAAAGAAAAAGTCCTGAAAGCAGAGAGAAACAACACATTACTACAGGGAAACACCAATTCAAATGACAATAGATTTCTCGCCTAAAACCACATAGGCCAGAAGGAAGTGGCATGACATTTCACTAGTGCTGAATGAAAAGAACTGTCAATTGTGAATTCTATATCTGATGAAACAGCTTCAGACTAAGTAAAACTAAAAGTAGTTTACTAAGAGAAGTAGAACTATTCTTAAAGAATGACTAAAGGAAGTCATTCAATAGAATGGAAATGATAAAAGAAGCAATCCTGTAGCACCAGGAAGAAAAAACAGAAAGAACAGGAATAGGTATATACCACAGACTATGCTTCTCATAAATTTTATAAATCACATTTCATGACTGGAACACAAATGTTAATACCATCTCATACTCAAGAATCTAAATGGAAGTACGGTTTCCACACTTCACTTAGAGTGGTAAAATGATTATCAGCAGACTGTGATAAATCACGTGTATATATTGTAATACCCAGTTGAAACAGTTAAGAAAAGCATGTAAAGACATACAAAGAAATACAATACTATAAATAAATCAAGACAGAATCCTAAAATATGATCCATGAGGAAGTCAAGAAAAGAGAAACAGAGGAATGAGAAATAGAGGAAACAGAAAACAAAAAAACAAAAAGGCAAACTCACCTATCAACAATTACTTTAAATATAAATGGTGTAAACACACAAATTAAAAGGCAAGGATTGGCAGCATGGGCCAAAAAAAAAAAAATTCTAAACTATGCAGTTTACAAGAAATTCATTTACAGTTTCAAGGTGTCTTTAAAATTAAACATGCACTTACCACACAACCCAGCAACAGCACTTTCTGTACATTTATCCCAGAGAATGGAAAATGTATGCCCATACAAAAACATTTACACAAATGTTCATAGAAGTTTTATTTTTAATAGCCAAAGCCTGGAAACAATTCAGATATCATGCAACGGATAAACAGTTAGAAACGGTCGCACGTCCATGTCAAAGAATACTACTCGGCAATAAAAAAGAATGAACTATGAACACAATAACTTGGAGGACTCTCCAGAGACATACAATGAATGGGGGCTGCGGGGGGAGCCAATCCCAGATGGTTACATACTCTATGATTCCATTAAACACTTGAAATGACAAAATTATAGAAATGTAGGACGGACTAGTATAAGGAAGGGGGGCAAGGGGTACTAGGGAAGTACATGTGGTTTTAAAAGGGGAACACAAGGGATATTTGTTGAAAGTATTCTGTATCTTGTGTGGTGGTAGGTACATGAATCTATACACGTGATAAAACCACATAGCACCCTATACACACATACACACACCCCGGTACCAGTAAAACCAGGTGGATTATATCAGAAACAATATTCTCGCTGTGACACTGCACTATGGTTTTGTACAATGTTACCATTAGGAGAATCTGCATAAAAGGTTACTTCCTACAACTGCTTATGGCTTACATTTTTCTGTTGTACTTTAATTTTCTATAGTGAGCAATGGACAGCTGTTGTTTATTCCTGGCCAATATCCATTCCCTCTTCTTCTGCAAAGAATGCTCAATTTTGGCTGGGCATGGTGGCTCATGCCTGTAATCCCAGCACTTTGGAAGGCTGAGGTGGGCAGATCACTTGAGGCCAGGAGTTTGAGATCGGCCTGACCAACACAGTGAAACCCCATCTCTATTAAAAATACAAAAAATTAGCTGGGCGTGGTAGCGTGCGCCTGTAATCTCAGTTACTCAGGTGGCTGAGGCAGGAAAATTGTTTGAACTCAGGAGGCAGAGGTTGCAGTGAGCTGAGATTGCACCACTGCACTCCAGCCTGGGCAACAGAGCAAGACCCTGTCTCAAAAAAAAAAAAGCTTAATTTTGCTTTGGGGAACTATGCCCTCCCCTACTGGAAATAGTCTTGGTAAGACTGTCCATCAAGATATCTCACCATCCCTGGGCACTGGGCCAACCAAGTTCACTCTTCCCTTAAAGTTTAACCTTGAGCAGAGTAGACAATGACTAATTTAGCCCAGCTGCAGTGTCTTGATGAGACTATGCATTAGTTCTATCTACCTGATCTCTGAAGCTGCCTTCCTTCTCCTAATTTCAGAGCCCGTTTCTTGCCTTTGAGTCTGAGTCTTGCCTCTGCTCCCATATTCTTTAAATAAATCTTGTTTTGCTTAAGTTATTCACATTTGGTTCCTATCATTTGCACTTAAAGAACCCAATCAATGACCAGGCGCAGTGGCTCACGCTTGTAATCCCAGCACTTTGGGAGGCCAAGGCGGGCAGATCACTTGAGGTCAGGAAGTCAAGACCAGCCTGGCCAGCATGGTAAAACCCCGTCTCTACTAAAAATACAAAAAGTAGCCGGGGTTGGTGGCAGGCACCTGTAATCCCAGCTACAAGGGAGGCTGAAACAGAAGAATCACTTGAACCTGGGAGGCAGAGGTTGCAGTGAGCCGAGACCATGCCACTCCACTCCAGCTTGGGTGACAGAGTGAGACTCTGTCTCCAAAAAAATAAATAAATAAATAAGAACAAATCAAATACATGCTCCCTTCAAACAAACATAACACAAAACAAAATATACCTATTTTATTTTTTAATTATAATTTTAACTTTGTAAGACCTTAATTAAGCTTTCATCCACAAACTCTTGCTTACAATAAACAGGTTCTTACAAATGAACTTAATGGACTACAAATATAACTAGAGTTAAAAAGACTAACTACGCTCTAATTATAACCCAAGCATGCCATGTCCAAGTAACATGAAAATACATGGGCATGACTGTTGCCCTCAAGTCTCACAGGCAATACGACTGTTGCCCTCAGGTCTCACAGGCGTGTAACACGGGAACTGCTATAGTGGAGGTGAATCTAAAAGGCCATGCCCACACACAAAAAGTCAATTCAGTAAAGGATCCAGACTGATTTTTAACCCATTCTGCCCTGGTTTTAAGTATCATGCCCCTAAAGGATTTACCAATTTTTTTTTTTTTAGACGGAGTCTTGCTGTGTTGCCCAGGCTAGAGTGCAGTGGCATGATCTCGGCTCACTGCAACCTCCACCTTGTGGGTTCAAGCAATTCTCCTGTCTCAGCCTCCCGAGTAGCTGGGATTACGGGCGCCGGCCACCACACCCAGCTAATTTTTGGATTTTTTAGTAGAGATGCAGTTTCACCATATTGGTCAGGCTAGTCTCGAACTCCTGACCTCAAGTGATCCACCCACCTCGGCCTCTCAAAGTGCTGGGATTACCAGGTGTGAGCCACCATGCCCAGCCGATTTACCAATATTTTATCTAAATTAAGAGCACAAACATACATTTTCAATCTTACAGCCATAAAGCAAATGTTAATATACATGTTTCCAGTCTACTAAATACTTTCATTATTACTCTGCAGAATACTTGGCATCCCAACGCTTTTATAAGTCAAATGTTGATTTTAATAAACCTTAATGTAGATCGGATTTCTAAACTTATGATCAAACAATAATTACAAACTGCAAGAACCAAACAAAGCACACTTAACGAATAAACACTAACATAATAATATCGATATTACTTAGTTTCTGGACTAATTATTTAGTTTTATAAAGTAAAACTCATGCATCCAAAGGTAAGTTCAATTAAATTTATAAAAGTGTGCTTTATAATTGCATAATACTTCTTTAGAATAAAGTAATACTTCTTACCTTCTGGAGTTGGAATGCAGTGCAGGAAAATGAAAGAAGGAAAAAAAAAGCTTTTAATTTTTCTTACAAAGCAACAATAAAACCAAAAATTAAACTGTCCCTTCCCATCCCAGCAATATCCACAATTCCCCAAATTAGTAACCCCCTCATTAATTTCTTCATTAAAATTTATAAATTAGCCAAAAATATCATATCAAAATGTCTAAAGATAAACAAATTTAGCTAAACAGTCTAAACTACTTCAGAAAACAGTTGCAGTAATTTGATTATGTAACAGAGTAAAACTGTTAGGGCATTTAAATGTGGATACAATGAATACTTCCCATTCTTTAATATTCTTCCCATGCATTTCAATTTCAAGGAGCCATCATAACGCCATCAGCTGTGGACTTAAGGTTTATTAGCTTCCCTGTGATACATAATGGAGCTCTTATGGATCTGAATTACAATGGATAAGAATACTCTTTTCTGTCAATATCCAAGCATTTTGTTGTCATTTTTTTCATTACTAATCCTTCTTGACATCCCTACCAGGTTTGTGGGCTTGAAAGCAGATTGCAACTAACAGATAGGGAAGATGGCTGGGCACAGTGCCTCATGCCGAGGCCAAAGCAGGATTGCTTGAGCCCAAGAATTCAAGATGAGCCTGAGCAACATAGTGAGACCTCATCTCTACAAAAAATATTTTTAAAATGTTTAAAAAGAAAAAGAGGAGGAAGATGCAGGCTTAACCACAAAGGAATCCTCCAACCTTAGATATATTATCAATACAAATAATGTTCTTCATTCTAAAACTAAGCTCTTTCTAATGAAATCACTTCAAGGCAATTCAGCTTGGCAAATAATCAAATGATCTACTCTGCAGGGATAAGGATTTCTGCTGAAAAGTAGTAGAGAATATTGACTTTATTTCCCTTGCTATATACACTTTTGCATGTGGAGAGATATGGGAAAAAAAATAGGTGCTCTGATTGGTTTTTAGTATAAAGTAAGCTAAAACATATAACCTTAAATACTGTATGAAAGAGATTATTTTCTTCATAAACAAATTAGTACTAATCAGATGTCATTAGGACTCCCCCAGACAGAGGTAAAATCTCAGTCTCTAAAATGTTTATTGAGCATAATCTTTGCTGGGTGGTTCCCAGAGTTCTTTACAATCTAGGCAGTTGGCCACACTCATTCATTAGCTATATAACTTACTCACCTATACTAATCTTATAGTGTGAAAGATTCAAACTCACCACAATTACTAATTATATATCATGAACCCTTGGGATCACTCATGAATGGTCTAATTCATAAAATGCCAAATTTGTGGACAATAAATTCACGAACAAATAATCTTCCTAATTTATTTCCCCTCTTCTATTCATGAATGGAAAGACAAGAAAAACTAGTCAGAGAATAGGGTCTCAAGAACTGAATATTTTACTATTTTTCTCTTCTTTCCTAAAAACTCTATTTCTCTATTAGCTGATAGAAGAGTCAAGATATTACAGTTAATAAGACGAGCAAAGCAGGTTAAGGAAACTCCAAAGGGGGGTGGGGGGGGGGGGCGTGGGAAGCACTAAAGGCAATAGCTACTTCAGAAGGAAGGCATTAAGTCCGACACTTAATGCTATAAAAGCACATCTGTAAACACTAATGGCAGCCACAGCTGATGGAAGGGAAAAACCTATTGTATATCTAGCCTAAGCACAGAAGTAGTAATGAGTAGTTACAGTAAAGAATTAATAGGCATGGTTTCAAAGAATATTCAGGGCGTGTATTCTGTCAACAGTGTGTAGGCTTAATGTGTAGATTTAATTGTTCTATTTTTTGTAAGCCAGAATATCCAAATTGCATACAACTAGTCTCAAGTTCTTATCTGTTAGATATAAAGTGACATATTCATGTGATAAAATGACTGCAATTTATTTCAGAACAGCCCAGGGTGTAAATACTATTTATAGTTTATGATGGAGGATGTATCCTTTTGTTTTTACAATTTTCGAAAAGTAAAAATTTATATTTTAAAAAAGCGTCTTCAGGCCAGGTACTGTGGCTCACATCTGTAATCCCAGCAGTTTGGGAGGCCAAGGTGGGAGGATCCCTTAAGCCCAGGAGTTTGAGACCAGCCCGTGCAACACAGAGACCTTGTCTCTACAAAAAATTTAAAAATTAGCCAGGCATGGTGGTGTGTGCCTGTGGTTCCAGCTACTAGGGAGGCTGAGGTGGGAGAATCACTTGAGGCTGGGAGGTTGAGGCTGCAGTGAGCCGTGATTAAAAAACAAAATAAAACAAAACCAAGAGGCGGCCAGGTGCAGTGGCTCATGCCTGTAAACCCAGCACTTTGGGAGGCCGAAGCAGGCAGACCACTTGAGTCCAGGAGTTCAAGACCAGCCTGAGCAACATGGCAAAACCCTGTCTCTACAAAAAAAAAAAAAAAAAAACACAAAAAATTAGCCAAGCACGGTGGCGCACGCCTGTGGTCCCAGCTACTTAGGAAGTCAAGGCTGCGGTGAGCCATGATCGTGCCACTGCACTCCAGTCTGGGTGACAGTGAGACTATCTCAAAAAGAAAGAAAGAAAAAGAAAGAAGTTACATTCACTCATGTGTTCAGCTGTACCTGTATATTTTTATGTATTACATAAATATGTAGTAGCTAATATTTATTCCCCAAAAGGTGGGACAGATTCCCCAGCAGAGGGCTTTTCAGCTAAGCTCTTTTAGTACCTAGTAGGCAGTTTCCTGTGGCCACCTCAGGCTGCAGCACCAATGAACTTTGCCATCCACTGAACTAGAGCCCTGCTTTCTTTTTACCTTTGAATAGTTAATCCCTGGTTAATCTGTTAATAAGTTCCAGTTAATAACTTTCCTGTTCAAATTACTGTGTACTTTCTGGTCTTCTGATCAGACCATAAGAACTATAGAAGTGTATAGCTCAGAGACTTACACAGAACTCTTAACTTATCAATGCCCAAAATCCCAGAAACAGTTCCATTAAGCTGTGTGGGAGTAGCCATGTGAGCATATTTGGGAGGCTGGAGTTTGAATCACCTCTGACACTCCTGACAAATAGTTTGTAATGACAAGAAGAAATATGGGCACAAGTCGGGAGAAACTTAAACTGGGGCACTAGGTGCTCTTTGTTTCTCTGCAAACTGTAAAATCAGCATCATCAGACAAAAAGGAAAGCGCTTTTTTAAAAAGGCTATTTTATATACTGATGGCTAATGACAACCATTTTGCCATAACTGTTACTTTGATTCAAGGTAAAATAAAATTCTGAATCGTTTCCCTTAGTAACTGAAGTATACCGTCAAAATGTACACAAAAATGGACACATCTCTCTGAATCTTTGGTTTTATTTCCAGTGTCTCAGGAGGGAAACAAAATACCTAACCATTCCTTCAATATTTAGATTCATACAAATGCACAGTATAATCCAGAATCAACACATGAGCTGTAATAATGAGAATAGGGGTTCCTTAAACAAACCCAATAAACAAAATCTCTACCCAATGAATAATATAGATTTTTAAAAAGCAAACTGTCTACAGAAAAACAAATGAGTAAAAGCTTACAAAATTGTTTTAAAGGTTCTAACAGTACTTCAAATTTGGAACAAGCAATTCTGTGTTGAAGAGCTCAACCCTAGGAAACCACTGCCACATTATCATTGGTATTTATGTAACAAACAGAAATTAGGTTATATTTTAGCCACAGAAAATTGAACAAGGAGGTGAGACATCTCTCAACAAAATTCTTTTTACTATTTTTGATTTTATGAAATAACTGTTTATTGGTAAACAGTATGGGAATTAACTCTTCTCTACTTACAAATGACCAGATATCACAGCTACAGCATTTATCTATAGTATAACTTTTCATGTCTTCTTGTTTTAACTGTTACAAAAAGAACTAAGCTAATTTAAAGAACTCCACAATGCCTTTGCTATTGACTCTGACTACTAAGTGTAACAGAAACAGTTCTTAACCTCTCCTGGCCTAAGTCATGTCCTCCCATTTCACCTGAAACATCCAAACTTCTGTCTTTTTTCTTCCCTATTACTCCTATGGGAAATTCTATCTTTTTTTTTTTTTTTTTTTTTTTAAGAGGCAGGGTCTTGCTTTGTTGCCCAGGGCTGGAGTGCAGTGGCACGATCACGGCTCATTGCAGCCTTGACCTCCTGGGCTCAAGTGATCCTCCTGCCTCAGCCTCCCAGCATATTTGGGAGGCTGGAGTTTGAATCACCTCTGACACTTCCTGAGGTGATTATTATTAATATACGAGGTACTAATAATACCTCATATATTCATAGGACATATATTCATGGGACTATAGGCTTGCACTACCATGTTTTCTTTTTTTTTTTTTTCTTTTTTTTGTAAAGACAAGGTCTCGCTATCTTGTTCACGCTGGTCTCAAACCCCAGGCCTCAAGTAATCCTCTCGTCTCAGCTTCCCAAAGTGTTGCGGTTACAGGCATGAGCCACCATGCCCAGCTTAAACTATCTTTAAAATTAGTGCATTAATGCATAAAAACAACATAATGGAATACAAAAAGTCACAGATCCTCGTGAGGGGAAAAATTTAAGGACCTTTTTCTTATTTTCTAAAATGCTGCTATGCTTTATAGTTATAAACAGGCATTTAATTTAAATATTGTAATGCTTTTATAAAAAAATAAAAAAGGAATTCACGTTTCTAATTAATTCTCAGAGTTCCATACTTTGGATAAATGATTTCCAATCTTACCACCTAACTTCTTAAAGGGGCTAGTACCTGAATCTTTCGCAGCTAGGAGCCAACCACTTCTTTTTAAATATTTTATTGGTTGGTTGCGGTAAAACCCACATAACATAAAAGTTACCATTTTAACCGTTTTTAATCAGTGGCATTAAGTACATTCACAATGCTGTGCAACTGTCACCATCATCCATCTTTAGAACGTTTTCAACGTCTCTAACAGAAATTCTGTACTCATTTAATAGAAACTCACTATTCCCCACTACTCCAGTCTGTGGTAACCTCTATTCTACTTTCTCTCTATGAACTTACCTATTTTAGGTATCTCATGTAACTGGAGTCATATATTTGTCTTTTTGGGTCTGGCTTACTTCACTTAGCATAATGTTTTCAAGGTTCATCCATACTGTAGCATGTATCAGAATTTTATATCTTCTTAAGACTGAATAATATTCCATTGTATGCATATACCTTATTTTGTTTATTCATTAATCTGTTCATAAATATTTCAGTTGTTACCACTTTAATAAATTTTAAAATCAAACAAAAATGGTATTGAATCTAGGCAAAATTCTTCAAAATCTGGGAGCCAAAGGAAAAATATAAAGGGAGTAGAGCTCAAAGTCATGTATTAAGGTCCGAGGAATGAAAATAAAACAGTAAGTAGTCACACACCTTTAAGAAGCATAGTACGTGTTTCATTCTGTAATCTTTCTAAAAACTTTTAAGAGTATAAGACTACCAGCCAGGCATGGTGGCTCACGCCTGTTATCCCAGCACTTTGGGAGGCCAAGGCAGGAGGATCACCTGAGTCCAAGAGTTTGAGACCGGCCTGGATGGCGAAACCCTTGCCTCTACAAAAAATACGAAAATTAGCTGGGCATGGTGGCACATGCACCTCTCAACCCAGCTACTTAGGAGGCTGAGGTCATGGGACTGCTTGATCCCAAAAGGACAAGGCTGCATTAAGCTGAGATTGCACCACTGCACTCCAGCCTGGGTTACAGAGTGAGACCCTGCCTCAGAGAAAAAAGTGCCATTTGACACATCACGGCAGCGAGAGAATAATCTATAATTATATATGAATATGATCTTCCAACTAATAATACCTCATATATTCATTAACAAGTAGGTTTTAAATACTTGTTATGCATCATATGCTGAGGAGTGGGGAAAGATAATGTCACTGCCTCTGGAGCTACCTTAACGTAAGGTACAGAGAAATTGTATGTTTTTTTACCACCACAAACATATATAATTTCAAACCTTAGTGCTATAAAGAACACAGAACATGCCAGGCACGGTAGCTCATGCCTGTAATCCCTGTACTTTGGGAGGCCGAGGAGGGCAGATCATTTGAGGTCAGGAGTTCGAGACCAGCCTGGCCAACTTGGTGAAACCCTGTCTCTACTAAAAATACAAAAATTAGCTTTGGGAGACCGAGGAGGGTGGATCACGAGGTCAGGAGATCGAGACCATCCTGGCTAACACAGTGAAACCCCATCTCTACTACAAATACAAAA
This sequence comes from Homo sapiens, assembly GCF_000001405.40. NCBI lineage: Eukaryota > Metazoa > Chordata > Mammalia > Primates > Hominidae > Homo > Homo sapiens. The sequence continues at coordinate 25,841,796 of NC_000002.12, forward strand.
AATTAGCCAGGTGTGGTGGCAGGCACCTGTAGTCCCAGCTACTCGGGAGGCTGAGGCAGGAGAATGGCATGAACCCGGGAGGCAGAGCTTGCAGTGAGCTGAGATGGCGTCACTGCACTCCAGCCTGGAGGACAGAGCGAGACTCTGTCTCAAAAAAAAAAAAAAAATTAGCCAGGCATGGTGGCACGTGCCTATAGACCCAGCTACTCGGGAGGCTGAGGCAGGAAAATCACTTGAACCCGGGAGAAAGAGGTTGCAATGAGCTGAGATCGCGCCACTGCACTCCAGCCTGGGCGACAAGAGCAAAACTCTGTCTCAAAAAAAAAAGAAAAAAAAAAAAGAAAAGAACACAGAACACTACAACAAACTAAAATAAGAAGATATGATCAAGACCAGTAAGTCAACCAAAATTGTCTCTGAAAAAGAGGTATCCAAATGGAGACCTAAAAGACTTAACTGTCCAATAGGTGAGCGAAAGCACATTCCCTGCTAAGGGTGGTCAGCATGTACTGCTTTGTTGTGCTGTAACTGCATTACCACAATATAGTTTAACCAGGAAAAGCTACTTTCAATTGTCACTATGTAAACCAGAAGCTATCTGATGATTCACACTTTACTACCTTTTGAAAAAAAACTCTTCCATTTTTTCCTGCTGTTTTTGTTTGTTTTTAATAATCTTTATTTATTTACTATTCCTGCTTGCTCCCTGGAAATGATCATGGTAAGTTTAAAGTCCCAGAGCCTTACTATGTTACAGCTGGATGATACTGACATTAAGACCTCCTGGCCTCAAGTGATCTGCCTGCCTCGGCCTCCCAAAGTGCTGGGATTACAGGCATGAGCCACTGCGCCCAGCCCACAAAAGGTACTTTTAAAAGCTAATTCTTCAAGTGTGTGTATATATATATATAGATAGATAGATAGATAGATGTATATATCTATATATATGTATGTATGTGTGTGCGTGTGTGCACGTGTGTGTGTGTGTGTGTGTGTGTATATATATATATATATATGTTTTTTTTGTTTGTTTGTTTGTTTTTTGAGACAGAGTCTCGCTCTGTTGCCCAGGCTGGAGTGCACTGGTGCAATCTCAGCTCACTGCAACCTCCACCTCCCAGGTTCCAGCTATTCTCCTGCATCAGCCATCCAAGTAGCTGGGATTACACGCAAGCGTCACCACACCTGGCTAATTTTTTTTTTTTTAATAGAGACGGGGTTTTGGCTGGGCACGGTGGCTCACGCCTGTAATCCCAGCACTTTGGGAGGCCAAGGCGGGCGGATCACAAGGTC